>NC_000002.12:25843088-25994603 GCF_000001405.40 Homo sapiens
AGGAGATCAAGACCATCTTGGCTAACACGGTGAAACCACGTCTCTAATAAAAATACAAAAAACATTAGCCAGGCATGGTGGCAGGTGCCTGTAGTCCCAGCTACTCGGGAGGCTAAGGCAGGAGAATGGGGTGAACCTGGGAGGCGGAGATTGCAGTGAGCCAAGATGGAACCGCTGCACTCCAGCCTGGGCGACACAGAGAGACTTCGTCTCAAAAAAAAAAAAAAAAAAATAGAGACGGGGTTTTACCATGTTGCCCAGGCTGGTCTCAAACTCCCGACCTCAGGTGATCGGCCTGCCTCGGCCTCCCAAAGTGCTGGGATTACAGGCGTGAGCCATTGCACCTGGCCTTCAAATGCATTTTAATGTTTTAATTTTAAAATGTTTACACTCAATTTTTCAGGGATGTGTTATATAAAGTAAGGTAAACTAATATATTTTACTTTTTCATACCAATGAAGCAAACCTAACTTATTTCAACCTACTGAAGTTTGACTATAAATCAAAAAAGAATTTAAACTGCTTTAGAAAGGGAGAGCAAATAAAAAAACTCAACTAGAATTTCACGTCAGAGAAAAGAAAATGAGTGCCCATAGTCCCAGCTTCAGGAGGCAGAGATGAGAGAATCACTTAAGGCCAGGAGTTGAAGGCTGCAGTACACCATGATCATGGCTGTGAACAGCCACTGCACTCAAGGCTGGGCAACATAATGAGACTCCATCTCTTAAAAAAAAAAAAAAAAAAGAAAGAAAGAAAGAAAGAAAAAATGAGAAATAAAATCTAGAACATGCAATGGCTATTCATCAAGAAATACACTGTCTATTTACAAATATTTGGGCATAGCTTACTGTTTCTCAATGGGAACACTATTGGCACCTGAGATGAAAAACTATTCAATGTGAAGCAACGTCCAACACAATGCAAATTTAGCATTCCTGTTACCTGCCCACTAAATGCCATTGTGTTCCCCTACCCCAATCACTGTGATACTCAAAAACAGCCCCCCAAAATTCTAAACTCTTTCTCCAAGAGTGTTACACAATGCCACCTATAGTTGAAAACCAGTAGTTTGAAAGCACTGCAAACTTTTCCTATCTTAATGAAAATCTAACATAGACTCCCAAATTTCTGTCTTAATATACAGAGCATACTTAATATAATTTTAACATTTCTTGATGATAGAGAGTCTTGATTAAGAACACTGACTATTGGCCAGGCATGGTGACTCATGCCTGTAATTCTAGCACTTTGGGAGGACAAAGCAGGCAGATTGCCTGAGCTCAGGAGTCTGAGAACAGCCTGGGCAAAATGGTGAAACCCTGTCTCTACTAAAAGTACAAAAATTAGGCATGGTGGTGCGTGTCTGTAATCCCAGCTACTCAGGAGGCTGAGGCAGGAGAAATGCTTGAACCCGGGAGGCAGAGTTGCAGTGAGCCAAGATCGTGCCACTGCACTCCAGCCTGGGTGACAAAGTCAGACTCCGTCTCAAAAAAAAAAACAAACAAAAAAAACAAAACAAAAAAAAACACACACACACATTGACTATTAAGTATTACTGTAATTTTTTTTTTTTTTACAAGACAGCTTCTTGCTCTGTCACCAAGGCTGGGGTACAATAGCACCTTCTTAGCACTCTGCAGCCTCGAACTCCTGGACTCAAGCAATCCTCCAACTCAGCCTCTGAAATACTATAGGAGCACACCACCACATCTAGTTAATACAATTTTTCGTAGAGATGAGGTTTCACTATGTTGGCCAGGCTGGTCTCAAACTCCTGGCCTTGAGCAATCCTCCCACCTCAGCCTCCCAAACAGCTGCGATCACAAGCATGAGCCACCATGCCTGGCCTGCTATTGTAATATAATAAGGTTCTTAGAAATTAAAGTCTGTGTTATCTTTGATCCTGTACTAATGGCCCAAGTCTATTATATTTGAACATGTTAAGACTATTATTTGACATATATACTGCTTTACAGTTCTTTTTCATTTTATCCTTTTTAGCCAGCATTATTTCTTCTGGGACTATCTGTCTACCTCTAGGACTCTCCCTGTATGAGAGTAATTTTTATCACTAATGACCAAGTTTATTAAATCAAAAAGCCTAAAGAGACAGATGAAGGCTTGAAGATGGCTCCAGGTCTTCCTAAAAATTAAAGTGCATGGGCTTAAAGATAGCTACCCTCTAAGAATTGGTTTTAAAACCTTCTGGTTTAAAACTTTCTGGTTTTAAAACTATGTAATGACTTAAAAAATGCCAAAGATCTGACATCTGATCAGAACAAAGCATTTATTATTAAGTAATTAATCTTCAGGACTAAAGTATACTATTATATACTACCAAATACTCTGATCAAGTATTATAATTATTACTAAAAATATTTAAATAACTCACCTGATTTCTTTTAGTCCTTCTCTCTGGATAACTTGAAGAATTTCTTTATGACTCATGGGTGTATTGGGGTATTTTTCTAAGACCTGAAAAACAAGTATATAATAATAAATTATTTCTTATTTCAAGTTATTATAATTCTATATATATTTCTTATAATTACGTCTTAAAAGCTAAAATTAATAACCCAATTATTCACTACTAATACATATGCAATTGTTTACTTTCTCCCTCCATCCCCACATCCCTTCACTACCTGTGACCTACTGCAAGCACATTAAGATTATCCATTTCCTGGTAAATGTATAGCAAAGCCTACTAAATCATAGGTGCACAATAAATTCTTAACCAAAACAAGTAAACAATATGATTATAATAAAATTAAAGTAATATCTGTGTTCTGGTTCTGGTAAAGACATAGTAGGCAAAGTCCATTCTGTCTCTCCCACTGAATGCAACTAAAAACCTGGACAGAATGCATGAAGCAGCTATTTGAGGACTCCGAAAATGGTAGCAGGTGGCCTGGCCTGGGGAGGAAAGCACAACTAGCAGTACCACACTAGTCCAGCAGTGAGTTTCCTGATTTTGTTTCCCTCTGGTAGCTCCCCTGAGCCTGGACTTAAAGGCAGCCCAAAACCCGGAACTGCAGACTAAGTGCAGGCAGAAAGTGCTCCAAGAGAAAAATATTTTTTGGTCTGAGGCACAGTAAAGAGGGCATTTCTAAAGGTTGGATAGAGGGAGAGAAAATTATCTGGGTTTTTCCCCCCTTTCCTTTTTCTCCGCCCTTGCCCCAGGCAATCGCATGGGAGCAGCTGTGGTAATACCAGCAGTGGCTAACCTTGCAAGGGGTCCTACAAGCATGGGAGGAATTCCCATGATTCATCTTGGCCAGGCACAGTGGTTCATGCCTGTAATCTCGGCACTTTGGAAGGCCGAGGCGGACAGATGACTCTTGAGGTCAGGAGTTCAAGACCAGCCTGGCCAATATGGTGAAACCCCATCTCTACTGAAAATACAAAAATTAGTCAGGCGTGGTGGTGAGTGCCTGTAATCCCAGCTACTCAGGAGGCTGAGGCAGGAGAATCACTTGAACCTGGGAGACAGAGGTTGCAGTGAGCTGGGATCATGCCACTGCACTCCATCCTGGGCAACAGAGCGAGACTCCATCTCAAAAAAAGAAAAAAAAAAATTAGCAGGGCATGGTGGTGCTCGCCTATAATTTTAGCTACTCGGGAGGCCGAGATGTGAGAATAGCTTGAACCTGGCAGGCAGAGGTTGCAGTAAGCCGAGATTGTGCCCCTGCACTACAGCCTGGGCAACAGAGCCTGTCTCAAAAATAGAAATAATGTCTAATATACAATTCAAACTTACTCAACACAGGAAGAGTAAGGAAATCAGCAACTCACAAGACAAAAGACAAGCTATATACAACAATAAACCCAATGTGACACAGATGTTGGAATTATCAGACAAAAGTAGCTATTATAACTATGCTTCAAGATGTCTGGTGAATATTCTTGAAACAAATAGCTAAGAGTCTCAACAGATATATACGTATATTTCATGTATGTTTTATTTTGTTGTTTACACTTACATTTATATATGAAACAAAAATACAATAACCAGTAATATTTCCAAACATAATACAGCAAGATAAGTGGCGCCAAAATTCAAATCCAAGTCTTGCACCACTATAGCATGCTGTGTCCAGTGTTTGTAACTACTTTCTCATTTGGTCAGTCATAAAACCCAACACATATTTCTGTGTATCATCTTCCTTGATCTCTCTGCTACATCTAACATTATTAAACTGTTCCCTTCGCAGACATCACCTCCTAGACTCTTCTTTTTCCCCAAAATATTTTTCTCAGTTTTCTTTGTAGATGTCTTTTTCTATGCCCATCCCTCAAATATTTTATAAACATCCATTTACCCCTTTTACTTTTCACTCCACCAAAATTTCCCTTAATAACATTAACCACACCAAGCTTTCACCACTCACGTTTTGATGAAGCGGCAGTCTGTTAAAAAACTATTAAAAACTTGTAAAACTTGGATATCCCACATGCATTTCAAACTTTAGATGTCCAAAGTTAAACTTACTGCCTTCATCCAAGTTAAGGCCCATACAGAAAACTTCTATTTATTTATTGTTTATATACTAAAAATGTATTAAAGTACTGAAAATAAACAAAAATACACCATGGACCTGGATAAATAGTTCACAAAAGGGTTAATATAACTGGATCACAACCATATGAAAAAGCATTTGCACACTGAAGTACTTACGGATGAAATCATATGATGTCTGGGACTTCAAAAAATATACAAGAAGTTGCAGGTTTAAATATAGCAAGATTGGCCATAAATTGATAATTATAGAAGGTAAATGATAAACAAAGATATTCACTATACTATTGTCCACTTTTGTGTACATATTCAATATCCTATAAAAATTTATGAAGCAAATGAAATACAATTATTTGACTTTACTAGCAATCAAATGTAATACATTTTAATGTGGGTTTTTTCCTGCCAATTTAAATGGCAAAAACATGGCAATAATAAACACCATGAAATGGCTATGTATGCACACATACATCTGTCCAAGGAGCCAGAAAACTGAAATTAATAAATATTTCTAGAGTGTCATTTCTCTGGCATATCAAATCTTAACTGAAAGGGGACTATTAAATCATTATCAGAATGAGCCACACTCAGAACTGAAAATATTTATATTATCCATGTTAATGGTAAAAATTAATACTTTCTAATATATTCTGCAAAACAAGGAATTAAGTTATTTTAATATTTTAATGGGTTTTAAACATCATAAGATGTTAAGCTATTAGAAGTGGAGACCGGCTGGGCGCGGTGGCTCACACCTGTAATCCCAGCACTTTGGGAGGCCGAGATAGGTGGATCACAAGGTCAGGAGATCGAGACCATCCTGGCTAACATGGTAAAACCCTGTCTCTACTAAAAATACAAAAAAAGTAGCTGGGCGTGGTGGCGGACGCCTGTAGTCCCTGCTACTTGGGAGGCTGAGGCAGGGAAATGGCGTGAACCCTGGAGACGGAGCTTGCAGTGAGCCGAGATTGGGCCACTGCACTCCAGCCTGGGTGACAAGAGGAAGACTCCATCTCAAAAATAAACAAACAAATAAATAAATAAATAGAAGTGGAGACCAAAAATTATGTCTTTTTAGTAAGGATTTCACTGATTTCCAAGATGTTCTGTACTTTAATCAAACACAGTAAACCAGTTGGTTAAAACTACTTAAGGAGGCCGGGCACCGTGACTCAGGCCTGTAATCCCAGTACTTTGGGAGGCCAAGGCATGCAGATCACCAGAAGTCAAGAGTTCAAGACCAGCCTGGCCAATGTGGTGAAACACCGTCTCTACTAAAAATACAAAAATTAACTGGGCATGGTGGCAGGTGCCTGTAGTCCCGGCTACTACGGAGGCTGAGGCAGGAAAACCGCTTGGACCAGGAGGCGGAGGTTGCAGTGAGCTGAGATCACACCATTGCGCTCCAACCTGGATGACAAGAGCGAAACTCCGTCTCAAAAAAAAAAAAAATTTACATATATATATATGGAATATTTATTTTCTTTTAAAAAAATGTTTATCACAGTTTCCTTTAAATGCTAGGCATTTAGAATTAGTTTTTTTTTAGGCCAGGAACAGTGGCTCACACCTGTAATCCCAGCACTTTGGGAGGCCAAGGAAGGCAGATCACTTGAGGCCAGAAGTTCAAGACCAGCCTGGCCAACATGGAGATTCCCTGCCTCTGGTAAAAACACACACAAAAAGTTAGCTGGGGGTGGTGGTGGCTGGGCGCCTGTAATCCCAGTTACTCAGGAGGCTGGTTCAAGAATTCAAGAATCACTTGAACCCAGGAGGCAGAGGCTACAGTGAGACGAGACAGCGCCACGGTACTCTAGCCTGGATGAAAGAGTGAGACTCTGACTCAAAAAAAAAAAAAAAAAAAAAGTTTTTTGTTGTCTTTTTTGAGACAGGGTCTCACTGTATTGCCCAGGCTGGAGTGCGGTGGTGCAATCACAGCTCACTGCAACCTCCGCCTCCCAGGCTCAAGCTATCCTCCTGTCTCAGTCTCCTGAGTAGCTAGGACTATAGGCATATGCCACCACACCTGGCTAATTTTTGTATTTTTTTGTAGAGACAGGGTTTTGCCATGTTGCCCAGGCCGGTCTCGAACTGCTGGGTTTTTGTACTTTTTGTAGAGATGGGGTTTTGCCATGTTGTCCAGGCTGGTCTCAAATTCCTGGGCTCAACATTCCACCTGCCTCAGCCTCCCAAAGTGCCAGGATTACAGATGTGAGCTACCATGCCTGGCCTAAAATTAGTTTTAATTTAGAAAAGTATTATACTAAATTTTTTCAGACTACTTAAAGCTATAGTTTTGGGGAGAAAGAAAAATGTTTTTCAATTAAAGACTTAAATATTACACTTTTAAAACTTTTTATTATGGAAATCTAAAAAAAATTCACCAAATGAGAGAGAACATTACAATGAACCACCACATACCCATCACCCATTTTCAACAATTATCAACACATGGCCTATCTTGTTTCCTCCATACCTTCAGACACCCTCCGTCCACAAACTGGGTTATTCTGAAGCAAGCCTCAGACATTTCATTCATTATTATTGTAGTATATATCTCTGAAAACAAGGACTTAAATTTTTTTTTTTACACCTCAGAAAATGACTATAATTCCTTAATATCAAATTATTTAGTCAATGTCCCAAATTTACAGGGAAAAACCACTTTTTTTAAACAGTTGGTTTGTTCAAATCAATAGACCCACATATACTGCATTTGGCTAACACATGTCTTGAAGTATCTTTTAATCTATGGGTTTCTCTCACTTTTTCTTCCAATTTACTTAGAGAAAAAACTAGTAAACTGTATTGTAGTTACACACATTCTGTATTTTGCTAATCGTATGGTCCTCTGTCCCTTGCATTTCCTGAAAATTAGAATCGAAATCTAGAGGCTTGCTCAGATTCAGATTTTATTTTAGCAAGAAAACTTCATAGGCTTATGGTATACTTCCTACCACACCACATCAGAACACACAAAACATCTATGATCTCTTTTTTGAGATGCTAAGATATATCAGTGGGATAGATGTGGTCTATCTGATCCACTTATTATAAAGTTTCCCATCAGCATTTCAATCTAATTGTTTTAGCAGCCACCGATGATCACTATCTCCATCATTTTATTTAGGGGCTGGAAAGTGCTGATAGTCTATCGTTCCTTTTTCATTTATAAGCCAGAGTCCTTCTAAAAATAGATGCTTTCCACTATCTATTTGGTTACCCGAGGTACAATTCATATTAAAAAAGCAGGATAAGGCTGCATGCGGTGGCTCACGCCTGTAATCCCAGCAGGCCAAGGCAGGTGGACCACCTGAGGTCAGGAGTTTGAGACCAGCCTGGCCAACATGGTGAAACCTCATCTCTACTAAAACTACAAAAATTAGCCAGGTGTGGGGGCGCATGCCTGTAATCCCAGCTACTCCGAAGGCTGAGGCAGGAGGCAGGAGAATCACTTGAACCTGGGAGGCGAAAGTTGCAATGAGCCAACATTGTGCCACTGCACTCCAGCCTGGGCAACAAGAGCAAAACTCCTTCTCCAAAAAAAAAAAAAAAGAAAGAAAGAAAAGGGCAGGATAAGTAACTTATTTTTGTATTTACTGTTTTCAGAATAATTAGCTGGTTTTCTGGCATGCTCCAAAGGTGATTTGATTTCTGTTTCAAATACCACTATTAATATGAGTATCATTTTATAAAGCAGCATTATGGATTTAAATATACTTTTGTGCTTTAATTACTGTATTTCCTCACTTGTGAATTGGCTATTCATTGGCTATTGTCCACTTATATACCATTTGTGAGAGCTCTCTAATTTACATTAAATATATTGAAACATTTACTGTCACATTTACTACAAACCCTTTCTTCCAGTTTATTCTTCATCTTTTTATCACTATTGATTTTCCATTAAAGTTTTTATTAATTTTATGTATTGTAACTGACTGGTCTTTTCTATTTCTTTAAGCATGTTTACACTTAAATGTAGCTTCCCTCCCTTTGATAGCTTAATACTTTTTCTGTATTCGTTTACATTTAACTCTTATAATTCACATAAGAAAAAGTGCATGGGCCGGGCTCAGTCATGACCAGCCTGGCCAACATGACCAAACCCTGGTTCTACTAAAGATACAAAAATTAGCTGGGTATGGTGGCACACGCCTGTTATCCCAGCTACTCGGGAGGCTGAGGCACGAGAACCGCTTGAGCCTGGGAGGTGGGGGTTGCCATGAGCCGAGATCGTGCCACTGGACTCCAGCCTCGGTGACACAATGAGACTCTGCCTCCCCCACCAAAAAAAGAAAGAAAATGTGCATGGATAGAAATGAGAAGAATGTGCAGACACACTAGGAAAAAACCAAGAGGGAGAGAATGAGGGAAAAAAACCCTTTCTTGGCCACATATATTACTGAGCAAACATGCTGTATGAACCATTACATTATCTTCCACAAGCGGAAATGACTACAGTAGTTTTGCAAAACTGTTAGCTTACGTTAACCACAGGAGGGCAGTGTTTATCAAACAAACCTCATTCCACTGAACTGCTCATGGAAACTTTAAAGTACAATTTTTAGAAACTACTTTATGACAATATGAATAACCACTCAGAATAACTAAAATCAACACTACATAGATTTAAAGCTAGATTTTTAAAGGGTGCTTAATATATTTACTTCTTAGCTTGTAGATTCCCAATTCAGTTAATAAAAAGGATTTAAAAATTATATTTTCTAACACTCGAGAATAACTGAGTTGCCTCTAAGATTCAAGTTTGATTCTAGCCTAAATAACGGGAATATTTCAATTACTATTACATTATGAGTTCATTCCAGATATACAGATGTGCAGAGTCTGAATTTTGTATAATCTATATGACTGCTACATTTTAAATGTCCAAATAAGTAACACAGTGATCTATATATAAAGTTCTATCAGTGTTAAAAGGCTCATTTACTGCCCAAAAGCTTTAATTAGGGTAACTTGTGCCATACCAGTAAATCAGATCAGCCAATATAGAGTGAGAAGAGATGAGGGCTTCTGCTATAGAACAATATATCAACGTTTAAGAGCCAGAGAAGAAAAACTAGGAAATAAACTAAATGACCAGAGAGATGAGAAGAAAACCAGAAAACACTGCTGTTTCAGAAAAGACAAAAGTATTCTAAGGTTTAGGTGGTCAACAATGTCAAATGCTGCCTAGAAGCTGAGATAACAACAGAAATGTATCCCCTGTATTTGTCAACAAAGGGATGTTTAATTAGCTTTGTAAATTCGGATTCCACTTAATGCGGAGGGAAGAAATCAGATGTGAGGGGATTTAGCACTGACTGGGAGTCTAAAGGTAGTAATAGGGGATTAAAACAACTCTTTCTAGGACAATAAAGGAAACAGAACATGTGGAATTGAGGAATAATTGTTTTGTCAAATGAAGTTGCACTGAACCAGCATAAGGGAGACCCAAATATCCCTGCATATCCCATCTTCCCCCTTTCCACCATGAGTGGCAAGTAATTTCACATACGGTTTTTGACAAATCCCTCATTATCTGAGCTTGAGGTACTAGTTCCGATTTGATACTCAAGAACAAAATGAATTCAGAGGATGCGGTTTCCCTCAGCTACCAAACTCACTATACACTCACTCACCTGAGTTCAGGAGCTCAACACATGAGAGTAACAAGGAACACATGGTATTTAGACAGAAATGTGATCTAACAGAGCCTTTGGAGGAAAGAGGGAAAAAGTCCTTACCTGGCTGTTTAGCAGTTATCTACTGATCACTACCTGTGTCCTGAGATGCACTTTTCTGTTCAGCTTCTGTCACACTAGACTCTTGTGGTTCACTCTACTCTACCTCTCTACTAGCAACTTCCTCATTCTCCACAGTCTTTTAATGTTGGTCTTCTTCAGGGTTCTTTTCTCCTCAGTGTCTACTCTCCTTGGACATTTTCATCCTCCCATGGCTTCAAAAATAGCCATGCTCCTATAGCAGCACCGTATACATCCCCAGTACTGCTTATCACAGTGCACCGTTTTTTTGTTTTTGAGACAGGGACTCACTCTGTCGCCCAAGGTGGCATGCAGTTTTATAGCTGGAGTACATGATCATAGCTCACTGCAGCCTCGAACTCCTGGGCTCAAGCAATCCTCCTGCCTCAGCCTCCCAAGTAGCTAGGACTACAAGTGTGAACCACCATGCCCAGCCTTATTCATCTAGTATTACTAGTGCCTATTATATGACAGATCTAAAACACTTAATGGTTGGCTGATGGAATTAGGAACATATGTGGCAAGATTAGCTTCAGACACTAGTAAAAATGCCTCTTTTTAAAAAAGGATAAAAGGTGAGGGAAAATGCAAATAAATTTACAGATTTGGGCGCAGAAACTTGAGTGTAAAAGTAGCTGAGAATACTTAAATACGAAACCTATACAGAGAGGCACCTACAGATATACAGAGAAGATTACAGAAGCTGACATTGTAAGCTCATGGGCATAGTTTACCTAGGGGTCCCTCAATTCTGAACAGCTCTATCAAGTCACTTGGGTTTAGTCTTTCCTAGCTTGGATTCTTTTAATTATCCAAAAAGTCTGGAGGTTATACACACTCCCTAGTTCAAGAAAAAAAGCTCTCAACCAAACTCTCTTCAAACTCTTTAGAGTTAATAACACTAACAGTTAATACTTATCTAGCATTTAACTGCCAAGCACTATTCTAAGTGATTTAGATATATTAGCTTATTTAACCTTTACAATAAACCTATGAGGTAGATACTATCAGCCCATTTTTTTTCAGATGTGAAAACTGAAGTGCAGAGAAATTAAATAACTTGCCTAAGGTTTTGTCAGCTAATTAATGAAAAGAGCCACTGCTGCTGCTGAGTTGTCCAACTTGTCATCAGCAGAATCCAACTCTCAGAACCCTGTTATAATTCCTCAAAAAGAAGAGCCAACCACTTCGGTGGCTCTGAAGGTGACAGCAATTTGTAGCTTAACCTAGTAGGTGCTCCTCAGTGCTTCCACATCTAATGATAAAAGGCAAGTACAGCATATGGCAAAGGCATGATATGGAAAAGAGAAATAGGGGCTTAGACTCCTCAGGAATGATGGCTTCAGGCAAGCAACCTTGATCAGCTGCAGTCTGGCCATGAGTGACGGAAATCTAGACTAGGCAGTGGCAGAAGGAGATGATGAATATTAATACGGCCTTGGAACCAGCTACTGCAGCAGAGACTATGACCTATTCCACTCATCCTCTATAGTAAGCCATTTTAAGAGACTGCTGCCAGTGTCTGTCTTGAGGAGCTGATGTCAAGAACAGGCTTACTGTAGAGCACAAGCCATTAAGAAACACATCCAAATAGAAACTTTCAGTGTCCTGCAACACACATATCCCTCAAGAACCTCCTCAGCTCTGGCAGACAGTGCCGCTCACACACTGCCAGCATGCCACCTTCGCTCATGCTGCTCTGTATATGACATACCTTCCCTACTCCTTTTGACAGATACCTCAAAGTTTATCTATCACTCAACAAAATAGCAAAGATTTTTAAACTGGTAATATTAAATTCTTCAAGAGTTGAATCAGACAGGCACATACACACTAAACAGTGGAGAGGGTAAAATGATACACCTTTATAGATAGTAACTTGGTAACAGGCCAGGCGCAGTGGCTCACATCTGTAATCCCAGCACTTCTTGGGAGGCCGAGGTGGGTGGATTGCTTTGAGCCCAGGAGTTAGAGACCAGCCTGGGAAACATGGTGAAACTCTATCCCTACTAAAAATATAAAAATTAAGCTCATGCCTGTAATCTCAGCACTTTGGAAGGCCAAGGCGGGCAGATTCCCTGAGGTCAGGAGTTTGAGACTAGCCTGGCCAACATGCCAAAACCCCGTCTCTGCTAAAAACACAAAAATGAGCTGGGTGTGGTGGTGCATGCCTGTAATCTCAACTTGGGAAGCTGAGGCAGGAGAATCACTTGAACCCAGGAGGTGGAGGTTGCAGTGAGCTGAGATCATGCCACTGCACTCCAGGCTGGGCGACAGAGTGAGACTCTTGTCTCAAATAAATAAATAAAAATATAAAAATTAGCCGAGCATGCTGGCACACACCTGTGGTCCCAGCTACTCAAGAGGCTGAGTGGACTGCTTGATCCCGGGAGGCAGAGGTTGCAGTGAGCCGAGATCGTGCCACTGCACTCCAGCCTGGGCGACAGAGCGAGACTCCGTCTCAAAAAAAAAAAAAAGAGAGAGAGACAGAAACACAATCTTGATAATGCATTTATTTATTTATTTATTTATTTATTTAGAGACAGAGTCTCGCTCTGTCGGCCAGGCTGCAGTGCAGTGGCGTGATCTCAGCTCACCACAGCCTCCGTCTCCCGGGTTCAAGCAATTCTCTGACCTCAGCCTCCCGAGTAGCTGGGATTACAGGCATGCACCACCATACCTAATTTTTGTTTTTTGTTTTTTGAGACGGAGTCTCACTTTGTCGCCAGGCTGGAGTGCAGCAGTGCAATCTCGGGTCACTGCAACCTCCGCCTCCTGGGTTCAAGCAATTCTCCTGCCTCAGCCTCCCAAGTAGCTGGGACTACAGGCCTGTACCACCATGCCCAGCTAATTTTTGTATTTTTATTAGAGATGGGGTTTCACCATGTCGGCCAGGCTGGTCTCAAACTCCTAACCTCAGGTGATCCGCCCACCTCAGCCTCCCAAAGTGCTGGGATTACAGGCATGAGCCACTGCTCACCTGGCCTATACTTTTTTTTTTTTTTTTTTTTTGACACCAGTGTTTATTTCAGGAAGCAGGTCTGGAAGACCTGGGTCTGTCCAGTGGAGTCCTGGAGTCTCCAGCTTCTCACTTGGCCTTCGGGTTACGGAACTTGTATCCAGCAAAGACAGCCTTGTCCCCAAGAGCCTCCTCAATCCTCAAATGAGTTGGTTGTATTTCGCCAGACGCTCCAAGGGGTAGGGGGCGCCAGTCTTGATCTGTCCTGTGCAGAGCCCCACCACAAGGTCAGCAATGAAAATGTCCTCAGTCTCCCCAGAGTGGTGGCTCACCATCAACCCTCAGCCGTTAGAGTGAGCCAGTTTGCATACCTGGATCGATTCAGTCACCGAGCCGATCTGGTTGACCTTCAGCAGCAGACAGCTGCAGACCTTCTTCTCAAAGGACTGGGCAATCCTCTTGGGGTTGGTGACTGTCAGGTCATCCCCCACAATCTGGATGTCCACCCCTGAGAGGAACGAGGTCCAAGTGGCCCAGTCATTCTGGTCAAAGGGGTCCTCGATGGAGACGAGTCTAGGTGGCAGCTGGGACAGTGTCCTATACCTCATTTTTAATACTACATAGGCTACAAGTTCTAGAATAATGCCAAATAACAGTAATGATAGCAAGTTTCTTCATCACATGTCTAATTTTTTCATATACTTGTCTCTAGCAATTTATCATCATTGTGTTATTGGCTGTTAGATTTTTGGGGGGGGCGGGGGGGGGGAGATGGGCAGCTTTTCTCAATAAAGCAATTCAAAAAACAAGGCTCTTTCCAATATGTGGTAAGCCATGTGGTGAGCCATGTGGTGAGCCATGGAGTTCTTCTGTATCCAACCCCAAAAGAGAACACAGAGAAAAAGCACACCCTATTCTTGAGTACCTTGGCTAGGAAGTGACACGTATTACTTCTGCTCACATTCTACTGCAAAAATAGTCACTTGGCACTATCTAGACACAAGAGAGTCTAGGAAATAAAATCTTTGTCTGGGTAGCTGGGACAAGGATTGTACCTATATGTACCCATCTCTGCATATAGTTTTCATCATTGACCTAGTAATTTAATGAATCAATATTTTTCTAATAACAAAGTAGCTTTGCATTCGTGGAATAAACTTCCAATTAATCATGGAGCTACACTGGCTACCTCATCATTCCTAGACTAAGGCAGGCACTCTCCTGCTTCAGAATCTTTGCACCATCTACTCCACCAATGTAGAACGCTCTTTTCCTGGATGTATGCAAAGCTTCACTGCCTTCATATGTTTGGTCAAATGTCAACTTCTCAGTGAAGCATTCCCTGACTATCCTATTTAAATCACGAACTACTTCAAAACCAGCCCAGCATTCCCCAGTCATCCAGCTTTCACTTTCCCCACAGCACTTACCACTAACATACTATATACTGTAATTTACTTATTTACCATGTTGTCCATCTTTCACCCCTACCTACAAATCTGTTAAATTCCATGCAGGCAGGGATTTTTATTTTACTTTATTTTATTTTATTTATTTTTGAGACAGAGTCTCTCTCTGTCACCCAGGCTGGAGTGCAGTGGCGCGGTCTCAACTCACTGCAATCTCTATCTCCTGGGTTTAAGCAGTTCTGTAGGCAGGGATTTTATTTTTCCTCATTTGTTCACTGCTACATCCACAGATCCTAGAGCAGTGCCTGGCATATAGTAAGTGCTCAATAAATATTTAACTACATTCAATGCTGAATACAATGAATCTCCACATATATGACACTGAGATTTAGTGTTTGCAAATTGATCCTACCCTAAGCGAACCTAAGACAATTACCAAAGAACTGCTCCCTCCATTAGCTTACAGATACAAACAACTGATTCTTTTAAATTGATAATATTTATAATATTTCCCTTGGTCTCTGCCTAAATCCCTTATCCTATATAGCGAAAGCCAGAAAAGGTTTCAGAACAAAATGACAAAATGGCCTCTCCATCACAAACCGGGTATATTAGTTTGGTGCCTTCCTTTACTCCATAGCAGCCATGTCCTCCTCATCTCCATTGTGTCTACATTCCAAAAAAAAAAAAAAATTTTTTTTTGGACAGGCACAATGGCTCACGCCTGTAATCCCAGCACTTTGGGAGGCTGAGGTGGGCGGATCATGAGGTCAAGAGATGGAGACCATTCTGGCCAACATGGTGAAACCCCATCTCTACTAAAAATACAAAAATTAGCCGGGCGTGGTAGTACATACCTGTACTCCCAGCTACTCAGGAGGCTGAGGCAGGAGAATTGCTTGAACCCAGGAGGCGGAGGCTGCAGTGAGCTGAGATCACGCCACTGTACTCCAGCCTGGCGACAGAGCGAGACCCCGCCTCAAAAAAAAAAAATTTAAAGCCTAATATAAAGAGGGAAATTGATAAAGGGAAGAAATGGTGACAAATAAAGTGAACGTAAGTAGAAATCTAATTTTTTTTTTTTTTTTGGAGATGGAGTCTCGCTCTTTATTGCCCAGGCTGGAGTGCAGTGGTGTGATCTCGGCTCACTGGAACCTCCGTCTCCTGGGTTCAAGCAATTCTCCTGTCTCAGCCTCCCGAGTAGCTGGGATTACAGGCGCCTGCCACCACACCCAGCTAATTTTTGTATTTTTAGTAGAGACGGGGTTTCACCATGTTGGCCAGGCTGGTCTCAAAACTCCTTACCTCAGGTGATCTGCCTGCCTTGGCCTCCTGAAGCGCTGGGATTACAGGTGTGAGCCACCACGCCTGGCCTTTTCTTTTTGAGACAGGGTTTTGCTATGTTGCCCAGACTGGCCTTGAATTGCTAGGCTCAAGTTGATTCTCCTAACCTAGCCTCCCAAGTAGCTGGGACTGCAGGCACACACCACCACACCCAGCTAAGAAACCTGAATTTTACATGAAAAACCTCAGACTGAAATATATATTTAATTACTTATATTTTATACTTTTCTAACCATTTAAGGCAATATTATTTAATTATAGCTGAACTTCCAAGCTGTCTTATAACTTTTAAGCAAAAAGTGTTACCCTTAAAATATATCCCTTATGTGGCAAAACTAGTGATTTCATACATTGCTGGTGGCATTACAAATAGGTATATACCTTAAATAAAGCAACGTATCAAAGAAGCAAATTACAAGTAACCATATTTCCAATCTCTCCGAAAGAAATACCTCAAAATATAGGGATGAGTTCCAATTCTTAAAATGGACTAAGCATATTCCACCCTGTCACTCCCACTGAATGTAGCTATACAACCTGGACAAAACGCAGAGAGGAGCTAAAGACTCTGCAAAGTAAACAGACTTTTCTTAAGCTCACATGGAATATTCACCAAGATAGACTACATTCTGAGCCATAAAACACACCTTAACAAATTAAAAGAAACAAATCATACATGTCTGTTCTCAGACTACAGTGGAATTTAACCAGAAATCATTAAGATAGTTGGAAAACCCCTAAATATTTGGAAACTAAACAGCACACTTCTAAATAACACATGGGTCAAATAAGAAATCTCAAAATAAGTTTAAAATATTTTGCCGGGCACAGCGGCTCACCTCTAATCCCAGCACTATGGAAGGCCAAGGTGTGCAGATTGCTTGAGCTCAGGAGTTTGAGACCAGCCTAGGCAACATAGCAAAACATTGTCTCTTAAAAATAAAATAAAATAAATGCTCAGGCATGGTGGCTCACACCTGTAATCCCAGCACTTTGGGAGGCCGAGGCGGCCGGATCACCTGACGTCGGGAGTACTGACCAACATGGAGAAACCCCATCTCTACTAAAAATACAAAATTAACCGGGCATGGTGGCGCATGCCTGTAATCCCAGCTACTCCGGAGGCTAAGGCAGGAGAATCACTTGAACCCGGGAGGCAGAGGTTGCAGTGGGCCGAGGTCGCGCCACTGCACTCCAGCCTGGGCAACAAGAGCGAAACTCCGCCTCAAAAATAAAAAAAAATGGAAACAAAAAAATATATATATAACATCAAAGCTTGTGGGATATAGCAAAAGCAGTGCTTAGAGGGAAATTTAAAGACTGAATGCATGTATTAGAAAAAGAGATCTGGCTGGGTGCGGTGGCTCACGCCTGTAATCCCAGCACTTTGGGAAGCCAAGGCAGGTGGATATGAGGTCAGGAGTTCCGGACCAGCCTGGCCAACATGGTGAAACCCCGTACCTACTAAAAATACAAAAATGCCGGGCGTGGTGGCACATGCCTGTAATGGTAGCTACTCAGGAGGCTGAGGCAAGAGAATTGCTTGAACCCGGATGGCAGAGGTTGCAGTGATCCGAGATCATGCCACTGCACTCCAGCCTGGGCGACAGAGAGAGACTCCATCTCAGAGGAAAAAAAAAAGATCTATGCTGGGTGTGGTGCTCATGCCTGTAATCCCAGCACTTTCGGAGGCCGAGGCTGGTGATCACTTGAGCTCAGGAGTTCAAGACCAGCCTGGGCAACATGGCGAAATCCCATCCCTACAAAAAATACAAAAATTAATTGGGCATGGTGGTGCATGCTTGTAGTCCCAGCTACTTGGGAGGCTGAGGTGGGAGGATTGCTTGAGCCCAGGAGGCAGAGGTTGCAGTGAGCTGAGATCACACCACTGCACTCCAGCCTGGGCGACAGAGAGCTAGACCCTGCCTCCAAAAAAACAAAACACAAAAAGAACTAAAATCAAAACTTAAGCTTCCATTTTTAAAAACTAGAAAAGCAAATTAAATCCAAAGTAACAAATAAGAAAACAAAAATTATAACAGAAAACAATGAAATTGAAAACAAGAAATCAATACGAAAAAACTAACAAAACCAAATGCTGCTTCCTGGAAAGACCAATAAAATCAATAAGCCTCTAGCCAGGCTAAGTAAAAAAGAGAGAAGACACAAACAAATTAGTAGTACCACAAATGAAAGAAGAAATATCACTACAGTTCCCATGAACATTGAAAAAATAAAGAAATCTTGAACAATTCTATGCCCACATACTTAATAACACAGAAGAAAAGGCCAATTCCTTGAAAGACACAATCTGACAAAACTCACACAAGAAAAAACAGATAATCTGAATAGGCCTATCATCTATCAAAGAAACTGAATTAATCATTAATAACCTTTCAAAACAGAAAGCCTCAGGCCCAGATGGGTTTACTAGTGAACTCCACAAAATACTTAAAGAACTATATCAATTCTCTACAATATCTTCCAGAAAACAGAAACAGAAGGAATACAAAATGTCCCCAATTACAGTGATTTGATTTTTCAAGTTTATGTTGCTGCAAAAGCCATACACATTCAGTAGAAACCATACTTGTGATGCTGGGCAGCAACAGCAAAACCAAGCTCCTAGTCAGCCACGTATTTTCAACTTAGGATATCTTCAATTTACAATAAGCCTCTTGGGACATAACCCTATGTAAATCAAGAAGCATCTGTACTTACTAACTCATTCTATCAGGCCAGTTTTAGAAGAAATCAAACTACAGACCCATATCTCTCATGAACATAGATGCAAAAATCCTCAACAAAACCCAACAAATCAAACTTAACAAAGTAAATGATAGCAGGCAGACTGGGGAAGATCAGATTCCAAAGTACTGTACTGTATCAGATGGTAGAATGATGAGGGATTATTTTCCTCTATTTTCCAGCTAATTTAATGTCATATTATTCCTATATTTAAAAAATTCATTTAACTTTTGTGAAACGGAGGAAACTTATGTTACACATTCTCCTAACTAAATTTTAAATATCAGTATTAATAGAGTGAAAAAATAATGCATTAATCCTAACTTAGAACCAAGTTTCACAAACACTAAAGTGAAGTAAATCTATGTATGTCTAGGACATCAATAAGGAGGGCTAACAAAATGTTTGATTGGATATAATTAAGAAAATACCTAAAACTGATACAAAGCCAAACAAAGAAATTTAGAAATTACAGTGTTTTAAGGCACCGAAAAACTAAGGAGCTTCACTTATATTACAATGGCATGTATCAGGATATAAACAATTACAAAAGTATGATGGTACATATGATTCCTGATTCCATTCTCCAACCACTTAATCCATCTTTAATACATTAGACGGCCAAGATCTAAATATCCAGTTCCACAAGAAGGGGAAAAATTAGTCAAAAAATACATTTCAAATTAATTTGACAAGTATTTATTAAATGCCTATTGTGTGCATACTACACAACAGGTGTTAAGGATAAAGAATAATTTGTGGTTTTGTTTGTTTGTTTGTTTTTTGAGACAGAATCCCGCTCTGTCGGCCAGGCTGGAGTGCAGTGGCATGATCTCAGCTCACTGCAACCTCTGCCTCTCAGGTTCAAGTGATTCTCCTGCCTCAGCCTCCCAAGTAGCTGGGATTACAGGTACAAACCACCATGCCCTGCTAATTTTTTTTTTTTTACTTTCAGTAGACATAGGGTTTCACCATGTTGGCTAGGCTGGTCTTGAACTCCTGACCTCAGGTGATCCACCTGCCTCGGCCTCCCAAAGTGCTGGGATTACAGGTGTGAGCCATCACGCCCAGCCAAAACGTAAGATTTTTAGAAGACATTAATTCTTGCCCTCAAAAAAGCTCTTATTTTGGTAGGAAAGACAGATGGACAAATTCATTACAATACAATATTTTTAAATACAACCAAATTTTAAAATGCAAACTAAAGCAGCTCACAGCCGGGCACAGTGGCTCACGCCTTTAATCCCAGCACTCTGGAAGGCCGAAGCACGTGGATCACAAGGTCAGGAGATCGAGACCATCCTAGCTAACACGGTAAAACCCCATCTCTACTAAAAAATACAAAAAATTAGCCGGGCGTGGTGGTACGCCCCTGTAGTCCCATCTACTCAGAAGGCTAAGGCAGGAGAATCGCTTGAACCCAGGAGGCAGAGGTTGTAGTGAGCCAAGATCGCGCCACTGCACTCCAGCCTGGCAACAGAGCGAGACTCCATCTCCAAAAAAAAAAAAAAATTCTCACAGCAGGAAGTAATTAACTTATCCGGACATGAGTTCTCTGGAACTTAAAATAAAAACAGGGGCCAGGCACAGTGGCTCACACCTGTAATCCCAGCACTTTGGGAGGCCGAGGCGGGTAGATCATGAGGTCAGCAGATCAAGACCATCCTGGCTAACACGGCGAAACCCTGTCTCTACTAAAATATACAAAAAATTAGCCAGGCGTGGTGGCAGGCACCTGTAGTCCCAGCTACTCGGGAGGCTAAGGCAGGAGAATGGCCTGAATCCAGAAGGCGGAGCTTGCAAAGAGCCGAGATCGCGCCACTGCACTCCAGCCTCGGGAACAGAGTAAGACTCTGTCTCAAAAACAAAAACAAAACAAAACAAAAAAACAGGTCGGGTGCCGTGGCTCACACCTGTAATCTCAACACTTTGGGAGGCCAAAGCAAGCAGATCACTTGAGGTCGGGAGTTCGAGACCAGCCTGGCCAACATGGTGAAACTCCATCTCTACTAAAAGTACAAAAATTAGCTGGGTATGGTGGCAGGTGACTGTAATCCCAGCTACTCGGAAGGCTGAGGCAGGACAACTGCTTGAACCCGGGAGGTGGGGGCTGCAGTAAGCTGAGATCACGCCACTGCACGCCAGCCTGGGTAACAGAGCGAGACTCCATCTCAAAAAAAAAAAAAATACAATAAAATAAAATAAAAATAGAAGTGAACTCAATTAAGTGAAGAAAGGTGTGGGAATTTCAGAAAAAGTAAGCAACAAAACAGGTATGTCCAGAAGAAATGGCATGTTTCATGAACCACTCGTTAACGGTGGAGCACTGGGCACAAAAGCAGCAACAGTAAAAGAGAACTGAACAGAGGCAAGGGCAAGATCATAAGAAAACACTCTTAATGCCAGGCGATACGCCTTCAATTTACCTTACTGGCAGGTGAGGAGTTAGCAAAAAACTAAGAAAGAAACATTACAACGAGACTCACATTTTAAGATTATTCTAACAAAAACAGGGTGGTCAGATGGATTGGAGAGAGCTTTAATAGACAGGTAATGAAATCCAGTTTCGCAAACTACAGCAACTAAGGCACAGGAATTGGAAATGGAAATGAGAAAAGAGATTTCAAAAATCCATTAAGACTTTTAGTGGCAGGTGACCTTAAAAACACAGATGATGACTCTAGCTTTTTAAATTGTGATAAAAGAAAGGAAAATGAACTATAAAAGGAAGAACATGTTTTGAAAAGTTATATTTAGTTTTGGGCACAGGGTAATCTTTTACTTAATCACAGAAAACATCAAGTCAAAGTAGTATATCTCAAACTTTAGTACTATTTAAAAAAAAAAATTCTCAGGGGTCACACTGTACCAGGTTAAGTTACAACATTTTACATTTTATATGAACATACACACAAATGATACTAAATTATACTAGGTATAAATCTCTTAGGCTTATTGCTCTTACACAATTACAAAAATAAAACATATTTACAATTTACAATTTTTTTTTTTTTTTGAGACGGAGTTTCGCTCTCGTTGCCCAGGCTGCAGTACAATAGCGCGATCTCAGCTCACTGCAATCTCCACCTCCTGGATTCGAGCGATTCTTCTGCCTCAGCCTCCCGAATACAGGCGCCTGCCACCGCACCTAGCTAATTTTTTGTATTTTGATTAGAAAAGGGGTTTTGCCATGTTGGCCAGCTTGGTCTCGAACTCCTGACCTCAGGTGATCCACCCACCTCAGCCTACAAAAGTGCTGAGATTACAGGTGTGAGCCACCGCACCAGGCTAAAATTTACAATTTAAATCCAATTTAGGCCAGGCATGGTGGCTCACGCTTGTAATGTCAGCACTTTGGGAGGCTGAAGTGGGTGGCTCACTTGAGGCCAGGAGTTTGAGACCAGCCTGGCCAACATGGCAAAACCCCATCTCCACTAAAATACAAAAAATTGTCCTGGTGTGGTGGCGCGCACCTTTAAGTCCCAGCTACTTGGGAGGTGGAAGCACAAAAATTGCTTGAACCCAGGAGGCAGAGATTGCAGTGAGCTGAGATCATGCCACTGCACTCCAGCCTGGATGACAGAGCGAGACTCTGTCTCAGAAACAAAATAAAAATAAAAATGTTATAAAAATTTTTTTTAAATCCAAATATAGGCTGGGCGTGGTGGCTCACGCCTGTAATCCCAGCACTTTGGGAGGCCAAGGTAGGCGGATAACGAGGTCAGGAGATCGAGACCATCCTGGCTAACACGGTGAGACCCTGTCTCTACTAAAAATACAAAAAAAAAAAAAATTAGCCAGGCATGGTGGCGGGCGCCTGTAGTCCCAGCTACTTAGGAGGCTGAGGCAGGAGAATGGCGTGAACCCAGGATGCAGAGCTTGCAGTGAGCCGAGATCGCGCCACTGGACTCCAGCCTGGGTGACAGAGCAAGACTCCGTCTCAAAAAAAAAAAAAAAAAAAAAAAAAAAATCCAATATAAAACAATGAGCTTCCATTTTAAGTAAAAATTAAACTAACGCTGGACTGTTAACTACATCACAATGGTCTTAACTCCAACTGCATGAGACCTGAGATGTGCTCTGTGGACACGTGTAACCACATTTTCTTATTCAAACTATGGTGAAACCTTCATTCCATTAATGCACCATGATGACAGCTGTGACCTTTACTTGGTACAAACGCATCATTTCCCTATTGTCTGCCTACTCCATTAAATATGGATACCAAAATCACACAGGAAGTTAAAAATATACAATTTTTAAGATTGTCATTAAAGCTTAAGACTTCAATTTTCTTTTTTCTTTTTTTTTTTTTTTGAGGTGGAGTCTCGCTCTGTCGCAAGGCTGGAGTGCAGTGGCGCCATCTTGGCTCACTGCAACCTCTGCCTCCTGGGTTCAAGCGATTCTCCTGCCTCAGCCTCCCAAGTAGCTGGGACTACGGGTGCATGCCACCACGCCCAGCTAAGTTTTGTATTTTTAGTAGAGACAAGGTTTCACCATGTTGGCCAGGATGGTCTCCATCTCTTGACCTCGTGAGTCGCCCGCCTTGGCCTCCAAAGTGCTGGGATTACAGGCATGAGCCACTGCGCCTGACAAAACTTCAATTTTCATAGACAACTTTCAGAATCAGCAAATTCCCTATGGGAGGTCTATAAGAAATCTAGTTTGAAAAATCATTTTCATTAAAACTTTGTCATTTACTACCTTTTATCTGCTAGAAAACAGAGCTGAGAAATACATATGAAGCAATCCAATACTAAGACTGGGAAATGGTTGCCCCTCTTGTCCCCCACATCTGTTCTCAAGGTATGACTTTTATATTCCAAACCAATAACAAGACAGCTTTTCACCTGGCAAAAGTATCCTTAATTTTTTGTCAGAAATAAATATATCAATATTTACTTTTTTAAAAGAATCTGAGATAGAGTCTTGCTCTGTTGCCCAGGCTGGAGTGCACAGGTATGATCTCGGCTCATTGCAACCTCCACCTCCCAGGTTCAAGTGATTCTCCTGCCTCAGCGTCCTGAGTAGCTGGGATTACAGGCACGCGCCACCACGTCCAGCTAATTTTTTTTTTATTTTTTTGAGACAGTGTTTTGCTCTTGTTGCCCAGGCTGGAGTGCAATGGTGCAATCTCAGCTCACCACAACCTCCGCCTCCCAGGTTCAAGCGATTCTCCTGCCTCAGCCTCCCAAGTAGCTGGGATTACAGGCATGTGCCACCATGCCTGGCTAATTTTGTATTTTTAGTAGAGACGGGGTTTCTCCATGCTGGTCAGGCTGGTCTCGAACTCCCAACCTCAGGTGATCCGCCCGCCTTGGCCTCCCAAAGAGCTGGGATTACAGGCGTGAGCCACCGCGCCTGGCACTAATTTTTGTATTTTTAGTAGAGACAGGTTCTATCTAAAAAAAAATGAGAATTGTATTGTGCTACAGAGTATTCCAAGACCTCTTTTATGTGTGGAAACTTCAGGAGGCTCGCAGAAAAGTAGAAGGCCAGGTGCAGAGGCTCACACTTGTAATCCCAGTGTTTTGGGAGGCCAAGGAATAAGGATAGATTGAGGCCTGGAGTTTGAGACCAGCCTGGGCAACACAGGCTCTACAAAAAACAAAACAAAAAAATCTTAAGTAAAGGTGTTGAAAAGCTGCAAGTGGGATAAGTATAGGTAAAAAAAGGTATGCAATGAGAAAAATGTGAAAGACGACAAAAGAAAGTTTTATCTCCTCCCACCAGTCTTTCCTGCCCTCTATAATAAATCCCACAAATGCCCCAATCTGCTTAAAACAGATACATTATTATCTCCTGCCTAAAAATTCTCTATTACTCCCAGAAAATACTTGTCAGCCCAGCTTCTATAACCCTCCACATTTTGGCCCAACCGACCTTTTCTGGTTTTGTCTTCCATTATGCTACACAACACTCACAGGTTAATTAGCCATGCATCAAACATACGCTGCATTTTTCAGTCTTTCCTCTTTTCAGCTCTTCCCTCTGCCTGGAATGCCCTTGCCGATCATTCACTTGTAAATACTTTATCCATCGTCCTAGAATACCCAAGTCAAACCTTCTTTAAGACAACCCTGCTCTATCATACTCCCAAATTTTAGTATTACTATTAGATTGCTATTATGCAGCTTCAACAACACAGATTCATTTTATTTGTAAGTTTTATTATCATACAGAATAAAACAACACAAATTTATCTCACAGTCTCAAGTGTATCAGGATTGTGGGTACAGGTTAGCTGGGTCCTCTACTTAGGATTTCATGGTTACATCCATTTCTTAAAAAATTTGTCAGAACCTCTCAAATCAGACAGGAAACTAGTCACTATAAATCAATAGCAAAACATTTAAAATGTTGTGTACCATTTAGAAATAAGTAACTAACACCATTGAACACTTATTTGAAATTCAATATGGCTAAGCCAGCTACTGAATAATTCAAACATCAGTGAGTTCAAGGTTAAAGATGACGTGGGCCATCCCAGGCTGTGAACGCCATGAAAGTCCATTCTAGTATCAACTGCTAATTAAAGTCAGTAGCCAAGAAATTTTCAAATGAAAAGTCTCTCACAACATAATTTTTGCCAAAAGATGGATCAGCTTACTCAGAGGATACTATAATTAGCAAGTTTTACAATGCTCTCTGATGCCCAAGATGAACTAACTACATTCGCATTTACCGTTAACCAATTTTAGTTCTGTCAAGCAAGGTCAGACTTAAGAATTATCACAGATATTTCCCAAGGTCCAAATGTAACTCAAAAGAATCTTTGGAGGCAAATATCTTGGTGTGTCTTAGCATAATTTTCTTTCACAAAGAAAGAGATACTCAACCAGTTTTCATGGCAAACAATACTTAATATATTTGACTAGCTTTATGCAAATCATCCTCTCTTAAAAGTAAGAACAGGCTGGCAGCAATGGCTCACACCTGTAATCCCGGCATTTTAGGAGGCCAATAGGAGAGGACTGCTTGAGCCCAGGAATTCAAGACCAGCATGAGCAACATGCTGAAACCGCATCTCTATAAAAAATACAAAACATTGGCCAGGTGCAGTGGCTCACGTCTGTAATCCCAGCACCTTGGGAAGCTGAGGTGGGTGGATCACCTCAGGTCAGGAGTTCAAGACCAGCCTGGCCAACATGGTGAAACCCCACCTCTACTAAAAATACAAAAATTAGCCAGGCATGGTGGCAGACGCCTGTAATCCCAGCTACTCGGGAGGCTGAGGCAGGAGAATCGCTTGAACCTTGGAGGTGGAGGTTGCAGTAAGCCGAGATCACGCCATTGCACTCCAGCCTGGGGGACAAGAACGAGACCTCATCTCAAAAAAAAAAAAAAATTAGCCAGGCATGGTGGCATGTGCCTGTAGTCCCAAGCTTCTCCAGAGGCTGGGGTGGGAGGATCACCTGAGCCTGGGAGGTCAAGGCTGCAGTCAGCTGAGATCCACCACTGTACTCCAGCCTGGGCAACAGAGTAAAACGTTGTCTCCAAAAAAAGAAAAGAAAAAGAATGTTCTCTTTAATCTCCAATTTTAAAAAGGTACAAAAAAAAAAAGATTTAGCATTCCTATGTAAGAAACTCAGTTAAGGTCTGCAAGTAAAAACACTTTAAAAGAAAGTCTGTCTTAAAGGAGCACAAAGTCTTACTGGCATAGACAGAATTTCCTTCTTCTTGTCCACAATAAAAAAAGTATTTCACAGCCGGGTGCAGTGGCTCATGCCTGTAATCCCAGAACTTTGGGAGGTCGAGGTGGTTGGATCACCTTAGGTCAGGAGTTCGAGACCAGCCTGACCAATATTCACCCATCTCTACTAAAATTACAAAAATTAGCAAGGCATGGTGGCGTGCGCCTGTAGTGCAGCTACTCGGGAGGCTGAGGCAGGAGAATCGCTTGAACCTGGGAGCTGGAGGCTGCAGTGAGCCAAGATTACGCCACTGCACTCCAGCCTGGGCGACAGAGCAAGACCCTGTTTCAAAAAAAAAAGTGAAAAAAATTATAAATTACCTGTATGTTAAATAATCAGGGACCGATTTTTTTTAATGATGGTATATCCAGTAACAATGAAATACTAAAAAAAAAAAAAGAAAGAAACATTGAAAAGAATAAGGCATTAGCCTGGCGTGGTGATGCATGTCTGTGGTCCCAGCCACTTGGGAGGCTGAGGTGGACGATAGCTTAAGCCCAGGAGTTTGATGCTGTAGTGCACTACATAGTCTTTATGATGAAAGAAGCATTCGTTAACTTATAGAAGGTCTTTATTACAGAATCTCCACTCAAGCCACAGTTCACCATGGAAGCTAACAACTCAGATGCATCTTCAGAAGATGTAATACAGCCTGGGTGGGGAACATAGTCAGCCCCCATCTGTACAAAAAATAAAAATTTTTATTAATAACCTGGTGGCCGGCGCAGTGGCTCACACCTGTAATCCCAGCACTTTGGGAGGCCAAGGTGGATGGATCAAGAGGTCAAGAGATTGAGACCATCCTGGCCAACATGGTGAAACCCCATCTCTACTAAAAATACAAAAATTAGCTGGGCATGGTGGTGCGTGCCTGTAGTCCCAGCTACTCGGGAGGACTGAGGCAGGAGAATCACTTGAACCCAGGAGGCGGAGGTTGCAGTGAGCCAAGATTGCGCCACTGCAGTCTGTCGCCAGGCTCCGTTTAAAAACAAAAAATTAACCTGGCCTGGTGGCACATCCCTGTTGTCCTGGCTACTCAGGAAGCTGAGGCAGGAGGATTGTTTGAGCCCAGGAGGTCAAGGCTTCAGTAAGCCGTGATTGAATGCCACTGCACTCCAGCCTGAGTGACAGAGCAAGACCCCACCTCAAAAAAGAAAAAGAAGAAAAGAATAAGGCAGATATTAAATACACAAGTAATGACACGACAAGCTATCCATGATATTCATAAAATAAAGTTATAGAATTTCATGTAAAATAAAGGTATACCTGTTTGTATATACGAGGTAAAAAAAAATCCAGAAAGCCATATTTAACTATCAACCAGAGTTAATTTCGGTATGGTAAGTAAATATTTTCAATATTTCAGTATGCAGACTTTCACTTAATTCCTGTTTTCAGTATACTGACTCATCTAGGATTAACTCTTTACATACTTCTACTTGTTTCTTGTTTTTTTAAAACATAATGAGCCTATATAACTTGAATAGGAAATAAATTTAAAGCAAGTAACAGTTTTTAAATCATATTTAGAGTTCTAAAATTTAGCTCATTCAATAACCTTTTAACAATAGTAAAAACATAACAAATCACACTGTACTAAAAATACTAAATTTAAAAATATCAACTATGAGGATGGCCTCTATGAGATGTAAAAAGAAAGAATACAGAAATAGAGGGGTATTCAGAGTTCTTTTGTAAACAGGACAAAGATAGCAAGTTTAGTTATATCTTCCACACTGGCCTCCTTCCAGACAGCTTTCGTAGAGGGGGGGAAAAATGTCCCACAGCAAAATTGTCCAGCCTCTCAAGAGTAGATAGAATCTGTGGATGGGGAAGCAGAAAGGACTTTTGCAAACCTGAGGTTATTTTCTCAACGCCTTTCAGAATTCTACAAGAGATGCAGGAGTAGCAGCAGCAGCAGCACCTTTCATAGAAATTTTTAATTTAAGTGTTCAAAAAAAAATCTGCTTTTTTCCCCTCCTTCAACAAACTAGGAGGCTTGTGGGCTTTCAGGATAGAGGAATAAAAACAGGTCAGAAAAAATTATGAAATTAACACAAAATTTTATTTATTTTGGTTTTTGAGACAGAGTTTCACTCTTGTTGCCCAGGCTGGAGTGCAATGGCACGATCTCGGCTCACCGCAACCTCCGCCTCCCGGGTTCAAGTGATTCTCCTGCCTCAGCCTCCTGAGTAGCTGAGATTACAGGCATGCGCCACCCACACCTGGCTAATTTGAAATTAACACAAAATTTATGCAGGAGAACTTTAAATAATATGGCAAGAAGGAAAGATCAGTCAAGCAAAAAGTGTTACATCAAGTCACCTTGTACTAACAGACTTGCAGAAAGTAATTTGACGAATGTAAATACACAGTTGTTTTGAAAATTATGCATCAGAGCAGTTCCTCAATTTTTTTAAAAATTAAAGAACTTTTTATTAAACTCTTGGGTGAAAAGGAGAAATAAATTATAGAATTTCAGAAAAACAATGAGTGAAAATTTTGCATAACAGATCTATGGGATAAATGTAAAGCAGAGATCAGAGGAAAATTCACAAGCCCAAAGAGCTACATAAATTAAAAATTAGCAGGGCACAGTGGCTCACGCCTGTAATCCCAACACTTTGGGTCCATTGCGAGAGCCCAAGAATTTGAGACCAGGCTGGGCAGCATGGCAAAACCCCATCTCTACAAAAAATACAAAAATTAGCCAGGCGTGGTAGTGCGTGCTTGTGGTCCCAGCTACTTGGGAGGCTGAGGCAAGAGGATCCCTTGAGCCTGGGAGGCAGAAGCTGCAGTGAGCTAAGATCGCACCACCGCACTCCAGTCTGGGCAACACAGCAAGACCCTGTCTCAAGGAGAAAAAAAAAATTAAAACTTAAATAAATTCCCAACTCAAATAGCTAGAAAGATAACAAAAGAAACCAAAACAAAGTCTAAGAGTAAAATTGTAAAGGTATAAGTGAAAACTAATAAGGTCAGAGAACAGAAAAACAATTCATAAACAAAATCTGTTTACTTAGGGGAAAACAAAAGCACCCAACAAAACAGATAAATCACTAGCAAAATTAATAAAGAAGATAGTAATACAAATATACAAAGTAAGCATTGATAAGGGAGAAATAACTATAGAGAGGAAAAATTTTAAATTCTATGAGATTATTTTCCATAGCTTTAGGCAAATAAATTTGAGAATCTCTATTATATGGATAACTGTTAATGAAAACAGTTTACTAAAATTGACCCTAGTAGAGAGAGGACGCTTAAGCAAACTAAGTTCCACAGAATAAATAGACAAAACTATCAAGGAATTAGCTCACCAAAAAGCACTTAGCCCAGACGGTTTCTCAGGAGAATTTTTTTTTTCCCAGAAGTCTCTATTTATTGGCTCTTGGGAGGTTGTAAGTTCTTTTTTTGTTTTTTTCCCCAATAGTTTTTGGGGAAAAGGTGGTGTTTGGTTACATGGATAAGTTCTTTAGTGGTGATTTCTGAGATTTTGGTGCACCCATCACCCGAGCGGTGTACACTGTACCCAATGTGTAGTCTTTTATCTCTCATCACCCTCCCACCCTTTCCCCACCCAGAGTCCCCAAAGTCCATTCCATTGTTCTTATTCCTTTGCATCCTCATAGCTTAGCTGTCAGTGTTTCTCAAGTTTTAGCCCATGCCAATGCTTTCTCACTAATTTTTATGTAATCCATGAGCCAAAAATCTACCGTTTTACTTTCTATAATTTGTATTATAAAAATTGGCCAGGTGCAGTAATCTCAACTACTATGAAGGCTGAGGCGGAAGAATCACTTGAACCCAGGAGGCAGAGGTTGCAGTGAGCCGAGATTGCACCACTGCTCTCCAGACTGACGACAGAGTGAGACTCTGTCTCAAAAAATAATAATATTTCCATTTTCTACACTTCCTATATCAAAGTAATTAGCCTATCTTTAATAGAAATTTTCTATCTTCCACCTTATTTTCTAAAGTTAAATAAAGATGATTAATATGTGATGACATCCTGAGGATTTTAGCAGTGACAAAAGTGACAAAAGTTTTAAGTGACAAAAACTAAAATCTTGTGTACATTCAAAATAATTAACCAATGAATAAAGTCTATATATTAAAAAAAAAAACAAAAAAACTACTTCTTCAGTCTACAAATTATATTCCAAAGATCTACACTACAGGTTATGTTCCTCATCTCTAACACCCACACCTTGTTTCTCATATTTTTTTTTTTACCATTTTCCTCCCAAAAAAACACCCAATGTCCCTTAAGTGTATAATCTCTAAAGTCTGCCTCTCTATCCCTTCCACCTACAATCACACACACTTGTCCTTTTGGGACTCTTTCACCTTTTAATGCTTTTCTAGCCATGGGTAAGGAAAGAAAAGTCAAAAGGCAAACAAGATCAATAAGACTGCTATTTTCAAAGTTCTGCTTTGCAAAAACTGCTAAAATCCTCAGGATGTCATCAAATATTTAGATGATTCATCTTTTTAATGAGCCTAATTTTGAACATAGTTCTAAAGTCAATGCAGGCAGGGTGCAGTGGCCCACATCCGTAATCCTAACACTTTGAGAGGCTGAGGCAGGCAGATCACTTGAGTCCAGGAGTTCAAGACCAGCCTGGGAAACTTGGCGAGACCCCGTCTCTATAAAAAAAAGTTTAAAGATTAGCTGTGGGCCCCGCACAGTGGCTCATGCCTGTAATCCCATCACACTGGGAGGCAGAGGTGGGCAGATCGCTTGAGTCCAGGTGTTTCAGACCAGCCTGGGCAACATGGCGAAACCCCATCTCTACAAAAAATTAAAAAATCAGCCAGGTATGGCAGCGCATGCCTGTAGTCCCAGCTACTTGGGAAGCTGAGCTGGGAGGATTGCTTGAGCCTGGCAGGCAGAAGTTGCAGTGAGCCAAGATCACGCCACTGCATTCCAGCCTGGGCAACCAAGTGAGACCCCGTCTCACACACAAAAAAATTAGCTGGGCATGGTGGCACATGTGTGTGGTACTAGCTACTCCACAGGCTAAGGAGGGAGGAGCCCTTGAGCCCAGGAGATGGAAGTTGCAGTGAGCCACGATCACAAGACTGCACTTTAGCCTTGGTGACAAAGTGAGACCCTGGTTCAAAAAATAAAGTCAATGTAATGGCTCTCAATATCCCCGGTTAGCTACAAGTTTTCAAATTTAAATTGTACTAAACACTACACTATTTGTCTCTCGCTCAAATCATTCATTACCACCATCACTACTGCCCTTAAAATTTAAAACATGCAGCTGAGTATAGTGGACCACGCCTATAATATCAGCACTTTGGCAGGCTGAGGCAGGAGGATCACTTGAGCCCAGGAGTTTGAGACCAGCCTGAGCAACATAGGGAGACCCTCTCTCTACAAAAAAAAATTTTTTAATTAGCTGGGAATGGTGGCGCACACCTGCACTCCCAGCTACTCAGGAGGCTGAGGCAGGAGGATCACTTGAGGGGTTGGCTGAGTTGCCATGAGCCGCCATCGTGGCAGTGCACTCCAGCTTGGGCGACAGAGCAAGATCCTGTCTCAAAAAAAGAAAAAGTAAAACATGTGAAACTGTTAACTAAATACTAGAATGCTTTTTATAACTAGCATATTTAAATAAGATCAACAGGGAGGCAGTCCAGTGTAGTGAATGCACATTCAAGATCAGGTGAATCGCAGCTCCATCACCTTTCTCTGGTGTCCTTAGTTACTGGAGCCAGTGTATATATTTAAGTTCATTTTATCAGCCTTTTGGCATAATCTACTATTATATAATAATTATGAAGCCAAGCACAGTGGCACATGCCTATAGTCCCAGCTACTTGGGAAGCTAGGACAGGATGATCACTTGAGACCAGAAGTTCAAGGCTTTAGTGCACCACGATCATACCTGTGAAGCCACTGCACTCCAGCCTGGAGAGCATAGCAAAACGATTCTAAATAAATAAATACAATTATAATAATAATGATAATAATTATGAATCTTATTATTTTGCTTATAATAACCTTACATCAAACCATGTAGCTCTCCCACATAAACACACACACCCCGTATCATCCCAGTATCACATATCTACATTTAATGTGTTGAATATATCTATTGGTATATTATTGGTCAGGAAAACAACCTTATTTTAATAGTACTCTCTAAAACATGATAGCTCTACAATGGAGGTATCAAAAACACATGAAATAAGAAACAGACACCTGCTTCCTTGATGAAACTGTTCCTCGAACACTTGACATCCTAATGCCTAAGAAATAAGTTTAAGCCTTAAAACTTCTTTTCCTATTCCTCTGGATCTAAATACTAACATTCTTATTTAGGTCAAAGTTACTTTCATTTGTCAACTCACTAATTTTCTGATTTCATTATTCTACAGTCTGAAATATTACAAATGTACCTTTGCCCGGTCCTTCTTTTATTTTCATCTATTTATCCCAAAAACAGAAATATTTTGAACACCGAGATTTAGTTTAATCCCCTCACTTATAGGTAATAAAATAACCCCCCAAAATTAAGAGTGTTTTCTAGATTTTGGCTACTAGAAAAACTTTAGTGTCATCATTCTCTTTCTAAAACACATTTTCACTGAGACTGGGGCTTCATGTATTTGCCAGAATCAAAGAAAAATACCAAGCTACTAATATACTGGTACCCTCAGGAACTCTACTGATCAAAGTAGTCTTTCCATCTTTTAAATACTATTTTTCACATAGCTAGCTAGGGCATGAAATGAGCAAATATACTAACATAGGAAAAGCTAAGTAGATGCAGACTAATTTTTCCTATTTGTCGCAATCTCCCAATGACTATTTTATCAAAGGGATCATAATTCAAAAAACACTCCTAAGATTCTAGAAACTTGTGTAATATTAGTGCTTTGAGAGGCCAACGGCAGGAGGACTGCTTCAGCCCAGGAGTTCAAGACTAGCCTAGCCTGGGCAACATAGAAAGACCCTGTCTCTACAAAATATTTTTAATTAAAAAAACAATTTTAAAGACCCTAGGAACTTAAAATTAATTAGCATAAATTAGGGTCCAGGTCTGCTTACCTATAATTAAAATTTATCATGCTTCTTTTATTAACAGAAAGAGGTCTTGAGGTATACTGAGAGTAAAACAGCCCTCTGTGGGGATGCAACCTCTACACCTTCAAAAAAAAGTATAGGAGTCTTATCTTTTAGAGGGAAACTACTAGCACAGGAAGATATACAAAGACATATTGTAAGTGAAAACACCCAGTAAGTAAAATGTGCTATTATTTCTTAACTTTTTTACATTTCCAACTAAGAGAGATACAAATTGAAAACTCATCAACCTCCTAATGCATAAAGTTTACAAAACAAATGCACAAAGTTTAGAAACAAATGCACAAGACTGAATAAACAGTATGACCTAGATTTGGGGAAATAAAGAGACTAGACGGTAATATACCAAATGTTAGCAGATACAGCCGAGCGGTGAAATAAATGTGATTTTTTTTAAATGTTCTTCTTTATACTTTTTTATAATTTTCCAAATTTCCCCACAGTGAACATTACTTTTATATTTAAAAAACTCATTAAAAAATAAACCATATGGCATCTAATAAGGGTTCACTAAGAAGGGCTACGTTGTCGAAGTATTACCGGCATTAATCACCATTAAAGGGGTGAACACCTCTCACTTTCCACTATTAAAATGCTGCCGTTTAATGCCCTATTACTTTTCTGCTGCACCCTCAACGATGTATGAACTTCACTATCTCCTGCCATTTCATTTCTGCATACAACATGCTTTTAATTTTTTCTTCTTAAAATATGGTAAAAGTTCTCACTAATCCTCAATATTCCACTTTTTAAAATCTACCTCTAAATTTCGTCATAACACAATTAGGGGGAAAATTGTTTTGCCCACTAATTACAACTTCATTAGGGCACCATCCCTTTGGCTAGGGTAACGTGAAGGCCGGGTAAACTACACGTCCCACCATGCATTGCTGCCTTGTTCAGAGTAGGTCTCTACGGAAACAGGAAAAAAAAAAATTCTACAAGTCCCACCTGTTACTTCGTTTCTAAACACCTCCTGCACTTTCGGCTCCAACACCAAACAAAAACAAAAGCCTCGTGATCTCTCGTCTGCTCCGGGAGCCAGACAAACAGGGGGCCCGGGGTCACAGGCACGTCCGCTGTAACGGGTAAATTCTATCCAGCTCCAGCGCTCCCCTCTCCTTTCCGGGGCTGGATGCACGCACAAGCCTTCTCCTATCTGCATCCAATGGGGGCTCTCCAGCCGCACAAGGGAGAAGAACCGGTTACCGTGCAAGCACCACAGACTTCCCCGTGCCGGGGCGAGGGCTACCACAGAGCGGAGGTGATATCGGCTCGACCCCAAAAGACAGCCTCAAAACACTGAGAGGACTCGCCGCAGACGCCGAGGGACGCCACGGCCCCGCGGCTATCACGTTCCGCCGGGCGCCTCCATTCCCACAGGGATCGCAACCCCGACACTAACCGCCGCCCTCTCCGCGCGGTTTTGTGCCCCTTCAGCCGGGTCCCTGGGCCAGTGACCTCCCTTTCCCTGCGACTGGCGGGCGACAAGGGAACAAAATCCTCCCGGCCTTCCCCTTCGCTCCCTCCCCCTTACCGTCTTGGCGGCCTCCGCCCAGGTCCTGCCCTTCTTCCTACGTCCCTTTTCCCTCATGTCGGGTCTTGAACTGACTGGGAGGCTCCCGTGTCCGGGCTCCGGCCGCCCTCCCTGCCTGCTCTGCCCTGCGCTGCTTTTCCCGCGGTGCCGGGAAAGGTGGGAGAAAAGGGAAGTCAGACCGGGGGGGCACCCAAGCAGAGGAAGCGGCGGGGGTGGTGCGCGGGGGGGTCTATGGGGCGGCCGGTCCTCTTGCTGCCGTTGCCACTGCTACCGCCGCTGCCATATTGGGTTCTTACTGTACAGGCTGCCGCTACGGTCATGTGACCGCTCCCGCGCGGCCGTCACTACTGTACGCAGCCGGCCGCGCGAACGAGCGCGGGCGCGCCCCCGCCTCCCAAGCCCGGCCGCTGAGCTATCGAGCCGGCGGTCTGCGGTACCTCGCCACGCCCCCGCCCTTCCGGTCTCCGCCTCTCCGCAGGAGCATGCGCGCCAAGGAGGCCCCGGCAGTAGCTGTAGTCTGACGCCTGGCGCTCACACCTACAGCGAATATCTGCCTGCGGAAGCGGAACCTGTGCCATCCGGGAAAGCTTACTGAGCGGATCCCGCCTCTTGCGAGGCGCTGCACAGGCTGTGTAGACCTGGGGAGCTGAACTCTTCCCTCAGTGGGTGGCTCTGCCAACTATCACTTTAGATCAGCCCTGCGTTTGTGTTTTCTCATTTATTTGCATTTTTACAGAGGTTATCTTTTTGAAGATAGGCAACAATTCTCGTCTGCCTATTAACCCCATTCGATAGGCGAAGCAACTGAGATTGAGTGACTTGCCAAGCTCATAAGTCTGGGATGTAGAGAAACCAAAAATCAAATTGCCAGCTCAGAGCCCTTTCCATCTCCCCAGAATGCCTCAAACTTAGGTGACTTTGTTTTTAAGGCCACCAGTAACTGCATCCATGCTTTTACATGTGAAGCTACTCATCAATGACAGAAATGGTGTCTTCTTTATTTCGGTGAGCTCAGTCCCTAGCATAGTGCCTGTACATATCAGGCGCCCAGTAAATATTTGCTGAATGATTCACCTATTTCTGTGGTCAGAGACCATTATTTGTAGTATCCGTAACAGCTTTCTGAAAGATCCAGAATGTGGCATCTTCTCTTACATCATCTACACCTTGATACCTTGCAAAGTAAGAAGAATGTAGTAACAACTGCTGATCTCCCAAATCCACCTGCTTCCAGAAGCTGCTTCCAAACAATCCAGTAAACTTACTATAGTGTGAAATAGGACTGAGGATTGGATTGCCTCTTGGGAGGAAAGACAGGTGAGAGCAATACTTAAAGTTTATGGATGCGTTTCAGAAATTCATGGACTCCCTAAAATTATGAACTATATTTTGTGTGTTATATGTGAATTTTTTAAGAGGATTCATAACTTTTCCTCCATTTTTCAAAAAGGATCTGTTGTGCAAAAAAAAAAGAGAAAAAGATATTAAAGGGAGTTTGAGAGGCCATCTAGAAGTATCTAGATACTTCCTTATATTTCCGTTCAGTCATGGATCAAACAGCCTATTTCAGCAATTGATATGGATATATTTTCCCAAATGTCTTTGGTAATTCATAGCCTTATGCATTACACAGGTAGTATGTACCACCTCCCTCCAAAGCTTATGTCTGTAGTCTAAGAAGGCCTTCTCGCCAGGTGCGGTGGCTCACGCCTGTAATCCCAGCATTTTGGGAGGCTGAGGTGGTCAGATCACTTGAGGCCAAGAGTTCAAGACAAGCCTGGCCAACATGGAGAAACCCCATCTCTACTAAAAATACAAAAATTAGCTGGGCCTGGTGGCATGCGCCTGTAATCCCAGCTACTTGGGAGGCTGAGGCAGGAGAATCGCTTGAACCTGGGAGGCAGAGGTTGCAGTGAGCCCAGAGATCGCGCCATTACACTCCAGCCTGGGCAACAGAGCAAGACTCTGTCTCAAAAAAGAAAGAGAGACAGAGAGAAAGAAAGAGAAAGAGAGAAGAGAAAAAAAGGTCTTCTCCATCCCTGGCTGTTGAGCTGAGTACAGCTTATCATCCAGTCCTGTTGTTTGGTCCTGGAGCCCCAACTGGTTTTCAGACCTTACTAGGGTCCTTACTTTGCATTTCTGGAGCTCTATCCCCAGGTTTGAATTTCAAGGGTAGGGATTGTGATGTTGTGGTTCCTACTTCTTAATCTTCCACAGATACAGATAGTTTATTATTATTATAAAAGTATAATTCCCCAAAAAGTATTTTGTCCCCATGTCTATTGATTGAATTTGTTATGTGTATTTGCATCTCTCTCATCATCCCCACCCTCCTTCTGGATTTCCTTAGATAGTCTGTTTCTTTTCTCACCCTACTCAAGCCCATCCTACAGGGAATGCCAAATCTATCTTCTTAAAACTCCACCCACTACCCTACTAAGATATCCTCCCTAAGATATCCTCTTGATTGAGTCACAGTTTCTTAGCTTTACAGATACAGTTTCTATAATCAACTTAGTCATCCTTTGATGTATCTCTGGTTACTTCCATCAGCATTTGCCACTCCCCTGAAGACCCCACCTCTACTTTCGCCTCTTCATTTAACTAATGACATTGCTTCATATATCATGTAAAAATTATTGGCCCCCCAGTTGCAGTCTCACCTTGTCTTCAACCCCTAAATTTACCCATAAGTCCGCGCATTCTAACTGCCTCCTCCTCCTTAGCATAGCCTAATCCCTCCTCTAATATACCGTATACAGGACACTATCCCTTCTCATCTGCCTTGGAATGTTACTCCACTTTTTTCATTATTTTCTAGTTCTGATACCCCTCCCCCTCCTTCTACAAGCATATTCAAGACACTTCCAGCTTAAGGAAGTCTCTTTACCCTACCACCCTACCATATCAAATTATTTTTCCTCTCTTTCTTGCCCATAAATATCTTGAATGTGTAACCTACACTCACCATCTCTACTTTCACAACTTCCACCCACTCCTCTGCCCTACTAAGTGTAACAATGCTTTACATCTACAAATCAAGGTCTGACTCTTTTGTGGTAAAGTGAATGACCTGCTTTGACAAACTTTGGCTTAGTGTACTGCAGAAAGTGAAATCAAGGATTTTTAGACTACAGATATTCAGCCCCAACCCCTTCAAATGCTTTATCTTGGAATCCACATGAGATTTTTATTTTCACAATAAAATTAACTTTTTTTTCATCTTTACCAAACTGCTCATTGTAAAAATTCTACAGATATTCGTTTTGTCTGTGGAAGCAGAGACTGAGCCTTGACTCCTTCTGCAAGTTATATATTGGAGTGCTCTCAGAAGAAACCTGTAACGGTGTGAGGGAAGCATCATAGAGAAGGGAAGAAGCTGGCCAGGCGCAGTGTCTCATGCCTGTAATCTCAGCACTTTGGGAGGCCAAGGTGGGCAGATCACTTGAAGTCAGGAGTTCGAGACCAGCCTGGCCAACATGGTGAAACACGGTCTCTACCAAAAAATACAAAAATTAGCCGGGCGTGGTGGCTCAAGGCAGTAGTCCCAGATACTTAGGAGGCTGAGGTGGGAGAATCACTGGAACCTGGGAGGTGGAGGTTGTGGTGAGCCGAGATCACGCCACCCCACTCTAGCCTGGGCAATAGAGTGAAACCCTGATTCAAAAAAAAAAAAAAAAGAGAGAGAAGGGAAGAAGCTAAGGAAAACCTAGCCTCAGCCTCACAACTTGGTTGAGCATGAATGGCCCCTCGTTAAGTATGTCTCCTCTGTAGAACCAAACTTTTCACTCAGATAAGATATCATCAGGTCTAGACTTGGCAAAGTTGGGGACAGGAAGCGCTAGCAAGCCCATTTGGCCCTCACACAGAAGCTGTTTTATCTTCAACAGTTTTATTATGAATGTGATATTTTTATCTCCATCTGCTTGTCTCCTGTAGATATCTTTCCATTTTTTCTGAAACTTGGGCAAGTTGACACCCTCAAACTCTAACATATAGCATAATTTTAAATAGTTACATAGCATTCCATTGTTTGGATTATGTACAATAATTTTATCTAGTCTCCTATAGTTAACATTTCAGTGCTATTATAAATAATCCTTGTATACAAGGATTGCTACTCAGTTGTGGAAAGAGATCTAAGGAATATTAATTAAAGTGAAAAAGGCAATGTATAGAATCACATGTATAATAGGGTTCCTTCTGATGAAAAAAATGGGGGAGTAAGATAGCCTTTTTTTTTTTCTTTTTTTGGCTACAAGTATCCAAGCCCCCTTCCCATATTTGGAAATTTCCCACCCACTATAGAAATTGAAAATACCTACCCTCCGTTTTGGGTAGGGCATAGGAACATGCCCTAGGCTCCACCAATCATTTATTTCTGCCCTAGACATTGAATCGGACACTAGTGATATTCAGGATCAGTGATGTCAGTGATACGAGTTGCAGAGTCTTCAAAAGGCCAGCTCTGCAGTGGTATTTTGGCCACTATTACCGTTAGTGGTAATTTCCAGGCTAGGATCACTAGATATCCTACAGATTCTGTAAGCGATCTTGTTTTTCTTGTTTGTTTTGAGGTAGAGTTTCGCTCCCTCTGCCTCCCGGGTCCAAGTGATTCTCCTGCCTCAGCCTCCTGAGTAGCTGGGATTACAGGCATCCACCACCACGCCTGGCTAGTTGTTTTGTATTTTTAGTAAAGATGGAGTTTCACCATGTTGGCCAGGCAGGTCTCGAACTCCTGACCTCAGGTGATCCACCTGCCTCGGCCTCCCAAAGTGCTGGGATTACAAGCGTGAGCTGCCACTGCACCCAGCCTAAGCCATCTAGGATTTAAAAAAAAAATTTTTTTTTGCCTGTTTAAATTAGCCAGAATTGGTTTCTTTTATCTGTCTTTTTTTCTTTAGCAACTAAGTACCTGGAATAATATATATGGGGAGTGGGGTGTGTGTGTGTACGTGTGTGTATGTGTATCTGTAGTTGATGCTGTGATGTGCCACCTAGCTGCCCTTTCAAGACTGAAGGACTTATTTCCCCAGCTTCTAGGGGTACTGTTGAAGAAAACTACCTTATCCAAGGTCATGCTGCATTCCTGTGACAGCCTGTGTCCAATGACTGATGGATATGGAGACTATAAAGGCCTGGCCCCCCTGCCCCGCTGTAGGACAATAACAGTGAGCCATCCCAGTTCAGAGCTCTAGTGGAGAAGAATGAGGCCTTTGTTGATACTGCATCAGACCTCAAATTCCCCTTCTGCCCAAATTTACTTCCTTTCCTTCCCCCACAAGTGTTGCTCCTGAGAGAACTCTCCAGTAAGTTTCCTGTACACTGACCTTCATTTTAGAGTCTGCTTCTTGAAAACCCAGTATGTCATCATGGCTTTATTAGAGTGGGGGCATATGTTGGTCATATGGAGTCCTGGTCCAGCTCTGACTCATAGTGAATCCACAATTGGGTCCACCTGGTAACTATTTCTCCTGCAGCAGCCAAAAGAGTAAATCAAAACAAGATCCCAACACAGGGAAAATGGCATCCCTAAAGACCTAAAGTATTCAGGGGTCTAGTCCTCACCATGTTTCTGTTTAATTCATTCATCTTGCCCCTACAAAAGCCCAGTGGATGCTGAAAGATGACAGTAGACTACCTCGAATTGAATTCATTAGTAATTTCAGTTGCCACATATGGTGAAAAATAATACACTTTTGGAGAAAATAGCTCCTGGCATAATATTAAGCCCTAGTATAGATGGAGCACTTGACCATGCAACTAGAAAACTGTATCATGAGCTTATTTCTGTCAGTCATCTCCACCAAATCATAAGGTCAGATGGGCTCACTAGCAACCCATTGTAAGATGGAAGTGGTACATCTGGAACTGTGCACAAGCAGGCCAGAGAGCACTAGAAAGCTGCATCAACAGATGATCCAGTTCCCATTTCATGCTCCACTGTCACCTCGACACCTCTCCTTCAGCTCACGTTATGGCTGCATGGGAGATTTTCCTATGACCAACTAACAGAGGAGAAGAAAAGCCAAGCTTGATTCATGGATAGGTCATCTTGGTATGTAGGTGTGATATGGTTTGGATTTGTGTCCCCACCAAAATCTCATGTTGAATTGTAATTCCCACTGTTGGAGGAGGGACCTTGTGGGACGTGATTGGATCATGGAGGTGGATTTCCCCCTTGCTGTTCTCATGATAGTGAGTGAGTTCTCATGAGATCTGGTTGTTTAAAAGTGTGTAGTTGGCCGGGCACAGTGGCTCACACCTGTAATCCCAGCACTTTGGGTGGCTGAGGCAGGCGGATCACTTGAGGTCAGGAGTGATCTGGGACCAGCCTGGCCAACATGGTGAAATCCCATCTCTACTAAAAATACAAAAATTAGCAGTGCGTGGTGGCAGGCACCTGTAATCCCAGCTACTCGGGAGGCTGAGGCAGGAGAATTGCTTGAACCTGGGAGGCGGAGGTGCAATGAGCCGAGATCTCGTCATTGCACTCCAGCCTGGATGACAGAGTGAGACTCCGTCTCTTAAAAAAAAAAAAAAAAAAAAAAAAGGTAGTACCAGGGGGTGGGGGGCTAAGGGAGGGATACCATTAAGAGAAATACCTAATGTAGATGACAGGTTGATGGGTGCAGCAAACCACCATGGCATGTGTATACCTATCTAACAAACCTGCACATTCTGCACATGTATCCCAGAACTTAAAGTGTAATAAAAAAAATTAAATTTCTTTTAAAAAGTGTATAGCACCTTCCCCTTCACTCTCTTTTCCTCCTGCTCCAACCATGTAAGAGGTGCCTGCTTCCCTTTCACCTTCCACCTTGATTGTAAGTTTCCTGAGGCCTCCCCAGCCATACTTCCTGTACAGCCTGTGGAACCACGAGACAATTAAACCAATTTTCTTTATAAATGACCCAGTTTCAGGAATTTCTTTATAGCACTGTAAGAACAGATTAATACAAGGTGCAAGATGAAAATGGACTTCACCAGCCTTACAGTCCCATTCAAGAATAGCTTTGAACAACAGGAGTGAAGGGACAGCCTTCCAATGTGCAGAAGTTCAGGCAGTGTACTGGATTATCTACTTTGTGTGGAAAGAGAAATGGCCCAAGGTCAGAATATAAACGGATTCATGGTAGGTGGAGAAGAGCTCAGCCAAGTGGTCGGGGTCATGGAACAAAAAAGACTATAAGATCAGAGGTAATGAGGTTGGGATAGAGATATGTGGATGAACCTATGAACACAAAATATGAAGATCTCATGTTTAATGCTCATATTAATACTCACCAGAAAGCGTAGAATAACATTGGCTGAGTATGGTGGCTCTTTGAAAGGCTGAGGTGGGAGGATCACTTGATGCCAGTAGTTTAAGACCAGCTTGGGCAACATAGCAAGACCCTGTGTCTACAGAAAATAATGTGGTTTTTTTCTTTTTTTTTTTCTTTGAGACGGAGTCTCGCTCTGTCGCCCAAGCTGGAGTGCAATGGCGTGATTTTGGCTCACTGCAACTTCTGCCCCCTGGGTTCAAGCGATTCTCCTGCCTCAACCTCCTGAGTAGCTAGGATTATAGGTGCATGCCACCATGCCTGGCTAATTTTTGTATTTTTAGTAGAGACGGGGTTTCACTGTATTGATCAGGCTGGTCTCAAACTCTTGACCTCATGATCCGCCCGCCTCAGCCTCCCAAAGTGCTGGGATTACAGGTGTGAGCCACTGTGCCCAGCCAAAAATAATATTTTAAAAATTAGCTGGGCATGGTGGCATGCGCCTGTAGTCCCCACTACTCAGGAAACTGAGGCAGGAGGATCAGTTGAGCCCAGGAGGGTGAGGCTGCAGTGAGCCATGATCACACCACTGCATTCCAGCCTGGCTGACAGAGTAAGACCCTGTCTCAAAAAAAAAAAAAAGCATAGAAGAAGCATGAAGCACTAAGCAAACAAATAGGCAGAATGACTCAGTCAGTTAACATCAGGCAGACTCTGTCATTGACCACTGCGGTGGTACATAATTCATCTATGAACATAGTAGACATGGTGGCAGGAATGGAGGCTACAAATGGACCCAACACCGTGGGTTCCCACTCACCACTGAACTTTTACCTACTACTGCTACTGAATGTCCAATCTGCCAGCAAGAAAGATGAAAACCAACCCCCTGATTTGACACCATCCCTCAAGTACACCAATCAGCCACTTGGAGGTAAGTTGCCTACAGTGGACCCCTTCACCTTACAAGGGGCAGCAATTCATTTTAACTGGAATATGCATCTATTTCAGGTATGAGTTTGCCTTTCCTACTAATAGAGCCTCAAAGTGTGCTCAGCCAGCACCACTTTCAAGAGCTTACAAAATATTTGCTCCATTGATAAGGGATCTCATATAACAGTGCATCAAAACAAAGAGCCCTTTTTTTTTTTTTTGAGACGGAGTTTTGCTCTTGTTGCCCAGGCTGGAGTGCAATGGCACGATCTCGGCTCACTGCAACCTCTGCCTCCAAGGTTCAAGCGATTCTCCTGCCTCAGCCTCCCTAATAGCTGGGATTACAGGTGCATGCCACCATCCTCAGCTAATCTTTTGTATTTTTAGTAGAGACAGGGTTTCACTATGTTGGCCAGGCTGGTCTCAAACTCCTGACCTCAGGTGATCTGCCTGCATCCGCCTCCCAAAGTGCTGGGATTACAGGTGTGAGCCACCGCTCCTGGCCATAAAGAGCCCATTTTATTTATTTATTTATTTATTTATTTATTAATGATTAATAGACTATTAAGGCAGGAATACATATAGTCATCATTGCCAGACTTAATATGAAAGGTTAAATGTTCCATCCAATTTTCCTTCCCGGATAAGTTTTTCTTTCCTATCTCTGTCAGTTTTGAAAATGTAATACCAGAAGAAGAGGGGCCTAAATCCACACAGAGTTCCCAAGAGTGAGTTTTTAGGAGTGGGTCTGAAATTTGGATAGACATTTGCTGATCTTGGATAGGTCCAACGAATCAAGGCAGGATCTTCGATGACCCCTCGGCGGCTGGGATCGTTGTACTGAAAGCAGGTACTCTCATTTCAGCCGGGAAAGAGCCCATTTTATAACAAAGAAGATATGGCAGTGGACACATGACTTTGGGATCTTCTGGTCCCAGAGGCTTTATTTTTCAAAAAGTATATAATTCTTCAAGTCATATAGCTATTGAAGATACTAATTGAATTTACAGTAGTCTACTGTCATCCTAACTACGCAGAAACTTTTGGCCTGATTGAGCAATGCCATGGCCCACTCATGGCGCACTGAGAAACCAGGGCAGAGATGTACCCTGTGAGGACAGACACCACCCTCAAAAACACATTTAGCCGCTCTAAATTAATGACCAACCTATGGTGTTATGTCCCTAATAGGTAGAATACGTGGGTCTGGAAACAAAGGGGTGGAAAAAGAAATGGCTCAGCTTTATGCATCCCATCCCCTCAGCTCTGGGCTCTGTGAGTTTAGAAATTCTGATTTCCAAGGGGACTGTTTCCACCAAGAGGCACAGCAAGAGTCCCACTGAACTTTACGGTTGCTGCCTGAGCACTTCAGACTCCTGTGTCAAAGGACCAGACAACATAAAGAGAAGTCACCACGTTGTCGGGGTAATTGATCCTGATCATCAGGAGGAAGTAGGGGCCATGCATGGTGACTCATCCATGTAATCCCAGAACTTTGGAAGGCCAAGGTGGGCAGATCACTTGAAGTCAGGAGTTCAAGACCTCATGGCCAACATAGTGAAACCCCATCTCTACCAAAAATACAAAAACTAGCCAAGCGTGGTGATACATGCCTGTAGTCCTAGCTACTCAGGAGGCTGAGGTGGGAGGATCACTTCAGCACAGGAGGCAGAGGTTGCAGTGAGCTGAGATTGTGCCACTGCCCTCCCGCCTGGGCAACAGAGCAAGACCCTGTCTCAATACAGAACAAAACAAAAAAACAACAAAAGAGGAAGTTCAGATTATGTTACACCATGGAAGCTGAAAGGACCCTGTTAGCTGTCCTGAAGGGATCCCCTGAAGGGATCCTCTTAGCTGTCCCTTAGTACTATCTTACCCAATTTTGTTAGTAAATGGTACATCAGCCATAGCTTTAACAAGGATTGTTGACCAGGCACGGTGGCTCACACCTGTAATCCCAGCACTTTGGGAGGCTGAGGTGGGTGGATTGCTTGAGGTCAGGAGTTCGAGACCAGCCTGGCCAACCTAGTGAAACCCCATCTCTACTTAAAATACAAAAATTAGCTGGGCGTAGTGGCGAGCGCCAGCTAGTTGGGAGGCTGAGGCAAGAGAATTGCTTGAGCCCAGGAGGCAGAGGTTGCAGTGAGCCGAGATCGCGCCACTGCACTCCATGATTGTTAGCAGGTGCTTAGACCCTTTGGGCATGAAAGTCTGGGCTGTATCACCAAGTAGGCCGCCTAGACCAGCAGAGGCACTAACGGGAAGAGGAATCTGCATTTGGATAGTAGAGGAGGGAGACAATGAGTAGAGTTGCAACCTTGCGATCAACTGCAGTGGTGGAGGCTGTCTTTCCCCCACTCTCCTCTCCTTATAAACTTCTCTCAGGGGAAGAGGCCCACCAGAATCCAGGAAGAGCTGCTCCCAGAACCCACACAATAAGTGGTTCCAAGTGGACTATATGTAAAACTCGGATTCACGTCCCATCCTCCCCTTCAGGACTGAAATACTTACTCCCCCAGCTGTTGGGAATTTTCTCTGAGACTTTCCTCAGCTGAAGAGAGCCATTCTGCTCAGGATCACTTCTGAGGGCAGCTTGTATCCAATATGTTGGGGTATAAAGGCCTGGCCACCTCACCTTGACTCAGGATGACCCTGAGGTGCTAGCCTGGCTTCAGAGCTCCCATGGAGTTGGCTGAAACATTTGCTGAAAGTGTAGCAGAGTCCACCTTCTCCATCTGCTCAATCCTGCTTCCTTCACTTCCTCCACAGGTGTTGATCCTGAAGGCACCTCTAATGAACTTCCCACATGCTAGTGTACTCTGCAACCATGCTGGTGGGTACAAATAAAATTTCTGGAAGGATACACAAAATAATGTTAAAAGTAAGTATCTAAGGGTAGTCGGGCTGGAATTTGGAATTATGAAAAGAAGACTCTTTCTTTATTTTTTTTTGAGACGGAGTCTCACTCTGTCTCCCAGGCTGGAGTGCAGTTGCACAATCTCTGCTCACTGAAACCTCCACCTCCCAAGTTCAAGTGATTCTTCTGCCTCAGCCTCCCGAGTAGCTGGGGCTACAGGCGCATGCCACCACGCCTGGCTAATTTTTTTTGTATTTTTAGTAGAGGCGGGGTTTCACCATCTTGGTCAGGTTGATCTTGAACTCCTGACCTCGTGATCCACCCACCTTGGCCTCCCAAAGTGCTGGGATTACAGGCATGAGCCACCACACCCGCCAGTGATGGTCAATTTTGTTATATACTTTTTTACCACAATTAAAGGTTTTTTTTAAAAAAAACTTTTTAAAGGCCGGACGCAGTGGCTCACGCCTGTAATCCCAGCACTTTGGAAGGCCGAGGCGGGCGGATCACCTGAGGTCAGGAGTTCGAGACCAGCCTGACCAACATGGACAAACCCCATTTCAACTAAAAATACAAAAAATTAGCCAGGCGTGGTGGCACATGCCTGTAATCCTAGCTACTAGTGAGGCTGAGGCAGGAGAATCACTTGAACTGGGAGGCAGAGGTTGCGGTAAGCTGAGATCGTGCCATTGTACTCTAGCCTGGGCAACAGGAGTGAAACTCCATCTGAAAACAACAACAACAACGACAACAACAAAAACCTTTTTAAACATTTTTAAGTATACAGTTCAATAGCCTGAAGTATATTCACATTGTTGTACAATAGATCTCCAGAAGTTTTTCATTTTGCAAAACTGAAACTCTGTATCCATTAAAGAACAACTTTCCATCTTCCCCTCTCCTCAGCCCGTGGTAACTTATATCATTCTATTTTCCATTCCATGAGCAATTTTTTGATCAGTGATTAGTAATGCTTACTTGAGACCTTGGCAGTCTTAGAGCCTATTTTGTGAGGGCAACATAGCTCCCATAGAAGTCCATTTTCTCACATTCACAATCAAGATGAAGCACAGTACCTATTCTGTAGTTTGGCTCCCGTTTGGATTCAAGGCTGGTATCCATTGCCAGCATTCAAGATTAGGATGCTATATTACTCACCGTTGTCTTTTTAGGTCAGTGAAGAATACCTGGCACAGTGGTCCACAAACTTCTGGATGTTATGGACAAATTAATTCTTTTTTTTTTTTTTTTTTTTTTTTTTAGTCAGTAGTAGTGATGTGTGCCTGGAGGCCCAGCTACTCAGGAGGCTGAGGTGGGAGGATCTCTTGGGGCTGGGAGTTTGAGGGTGTAGTGCATTATAATCATGGCTGTGAATAGCCACTGCACTCTAGCCTAGGCAACATAGCAAGACTCTGGCTCTAAAAAAAAAAAAAAAAATACACACAAACACAATTTTTTTTAACAGATGACTGACATAAGATGTTCAACTCTTTATACATATAAGTAAGCATATTTTTTGTTTGGTTTGTTTCATTTTGAGACAGGGTCTCACTCTGTCACCCAGACTGGAATGCAGTGACACAATCAGAGCTCACTGAAGCCTCGAACTTCTGGGCTCAAGTCATCCTCCCACCTCAGCCTCCCGAGTAGCTGGGACTACAGGTGAATGTCACCACACCCAGCTAATTTTCTAATTTTTTTGTAGAGATGGGGTCTCACTGTGTTGCCCAGGCTGGTCTCAAAATCGTGGCCTCAAGTGATCCTCCTGCCTCAACCTCCCAAAGTGCTGGGATTATAGGTGTGAACTACAGCACCTAGCCAGTAAACACATTTTAAAAAATTGACTCCTATCTATGATCTTCATAATTTTAGGAAAGGAAAGACATTTAACAGCAACAAGCTAGAATAAAAGTTAGAAGAACATAAGCTCAGACCAAAAGACAATATGTTGTTTTTTCTCCCCTTCTCTCTCCAATTCTGTCTCATGGCATTGCAAAGACAATTTCTTTTTTAAGGAAAATTCTGTACCCTCACAGATAGTAGAACCAGTATCAATTCCAGGGGGACATTGATTGTTTTAAAAATGCGATATTGGACGGGCGTGGTGGCTCAAGCCGGTAATCTCAGCACTTTGGGAGGCCGAGGCGGGCGGATCGCCTGAGGTCGGGAGTTTGAGACCAGCCTGGCCAGCAAGGCGAAACCCTGTCTCTACTAAAAATACAAAAATTAGCCGAGCCTGGTGGCAGGCACCTGTAATCCCAGCTACTTGGGAAGCTGAGGCAGGAGAATCGCTTGAACCAGGGAGGCAGAGGTTGCAGTGAGCCGAGATCGCGTCACTCCAGCCTGGGCAACAGAGGGAGACTCCATCTCGGAAAAAAAAAAAGAAAAAAACGCAATTTAGATGGATGCGATGGCTCACACCAGTAATCTTAGCACTTTGGGAGGTTTAGGCAGACGAATTGCTTGAGCTCAGAAGTTTGAGACCAGCCTCCTATTTAATAATAAATAAATAAGCAATATTAAGTGGCATAGTATGAATATGCCAGAGCACAGGGCTGCTGAGGCCCTCATTAACTCTGCCCTGGCCACAGACTTTAGCTTTGACCAGTTTACCATCTCATTTCCGCCTTAAGTTATGTCATGACCAGGAGACAGGCTATAGGTGGGCCCCATTCAAAGTCCTTGTATCTGATCTCCCATGGGTCAATAGCAGTGACCACACAGAGTAAGAGGTGCTAGAATCCAACTGCCTGGACTGGAATTCCTCCACGTGAGTATATTCTACCTACGAAAACTTGGGCAAACCGCTTCTTTCTTCCTTTATTTTATTTTATACAGGGTCTCACTCTGTTGCCCAGGCTGGAGTGCTGTGGTGTGAACACAGCTTACTGCAGCCTCGACCTCCTGGCCTCAAGTAATTCTCCCACTTCAGTCTCCCAAGTAGCTGTGACCACAGGTTTATGCTACCACACCTGGCTAATTTTTTAATTTTTTGTAGAGACAAGGTCTCATCATGTTGTCCAGGGTGGTCTCAAACTCCTGGGCTCAAGTGATCCTCCCATTTTGGCCTCCCAAAGTACTGAGGTTACAGGCATGAGCCACCACACGTGGCCTTACCTAACTTCTTTAAATCTCAGTTTCCAGCCAGGCGCGGTAGCTCACGCTTGTAATCCCAGCACTTTGGAAGGCCGAGGCGGGCGGATCACCTGAGGTCCGGAGTTCGAGGCCAGCCTGGCCAACATGGAGAAACCCCGTCTCTACTAAAACTACAAAATTAGCCGGGCTGGTGGCACATACCTATAATCCCAGCTACTAGGGAGGCTGAGGAAGGAGAATCGCTTGAACCTGGGAGGCGGAGGTTGCGGTGAGCCAAGATCGTGCCATTGCACTCCAGCCTGGGCAAAAAAAAAAAAAAAAAATCTCGGTTTCCTCTGCTAAGTTTATGATGATGTCTGGATGAGGTAGTACATGTAAAGTGTTTGGAATAGTGCCTGGTATATTGTAAGCCATTGATAAATGTTCGCTATTGTATTTTTGTTGTGGTTGCTGTTGTTTGTTTGTTTTTTGAGACAGAGTCTCGTTCTGTCACCCAGGCTAGAATGCAGTGGTGCAGTCTCGGCTCACTGCAACCTCTGCCTCTTGGGTTCAAGCAATTGTCGTTCCTCAGCCTCCCAAGTAGCTTGGATTACAGGCAAGTGCCACCATGCCCAGCTAATTTTTGTATTTTTAGTAGAGATGGAGTTTTGCCATAATGACCAGGCTGGTCTCAAACTCTTGACCTCAGGTGATCTGCCTGCCTCGGCCTTCCAAAGTGCTGGGATTACAGACGTGAGCTACTGCGGCTGGCCTGCTATTGTATTTTATATATTATACATGGACAGTAAAGAAGGCAGAAGTAGACCTTCTCTTCCTCCCTCCTGCAGAATGTTTGAATACCTGGCTGTCAGCATTTCTCTACTAAACTGTTATCATTCCTCTACTCTTTAATTTTGTATTAATTTTTTTCTTTTTTAGAGATGGGGTCTTGCTATGTTGCCCAGACTGGTCTGAAACCCCTGGGCCCAAGTATGCTCCTGCTTCAGCCTCTTGAATACCTGAGATTACAGGCATGTGCCACCAAACCTGGCCATTTTTGTACTAAATGCAACAAGATTTAGCTTACTTGGTGACCTGGCCGGCAGAAGCCTAGAGGAAAAGAGAAGAAAGCAATTAACTCCTGATTACCTGGCATATACCAGACAATTTATATGAGGACATGAAAATTGAGGAACTTCTCAAGAAACATTTCCTTTAGGGACAATTTCTCCCAACTAGTACGATGACCTTGAAATAATCAAATCAAGTCAATTAAACAGATTAATTTAGTATCTTTCAACCTTAAGCCAAATACCAAAGACCAGAAAGGAGTATAAGACTGCAAAGCAGTGGCCAGGTGCGGTGGCGCACACCTGTAATCCTAGCACTATGGGAGGCCAAGGTGGGCGGATCATGAGGTCAGGAGTTCAAGACCAGCCTGACCAACATGGTGAAACCCTGTCTCTACTAAAAATACAAACATTAGCCAGGCATGGTGGCACACACCTATAATCCCAGCTACTCAGGAGGCTGAGGCAGGAGAATGGCTTGAACCTGGGAAGTGCAGGCTGCAGTGAACCAAGATTGTACCACTGCACTCCAGTCTGGGCAACAGAGTGAGACTCCATCTCAAAAAAAAAAAAAAAAAGACTGCAAAGCAGTAGGTGTAGGGACAGTGTCTGCCATGTTCATTATTGTATTTGCAGTGCATCTTGTGATACTTGCTTTTTTTTTTTTTTTTTTTGAGATCTGTCTCTCCAGCCTGGGTGACAGAGCAGACAAAACCTCTTCTCTACCAAAAACACAAAAATTATCCAAGCATGGTGGCGCATACCTGTAATCCCAGCTTGGGTGGCTAAGGCTGGAGAATCGCTTGAACCCGGGAATTGGAGGTTGAGTGAGCTGAGATCATGCCACTGTACCTCAGCCTGGATGACAAGAGTGAGACTCCATCCCAAAAAAAAAAACCAAAAAAACAAAAAACAAGGTCTCCCTCTGTTGCCCAGGCTGTAGTGCAGTGGTGCAATCTTGGCTCACTGCAGCCTTGACCTCCCAGGTTCAAGCAACCCTTCCACCTCAGCCTCCCAGGTAGCTTGGGACTACAGGTGTGCATCACTATGCTGGGCTAATTATTGTATTTTTTATAAAAATCTTGTCTCCTTATGTTGCCCAGGCCGATCTCGAACTCCTGGGCTCAAGCAGTTGGCCTGCCTCAGCCTCCCAAACAAAGCTCAGGGATTACAGGTGTGAGCCACCACGCCTGGCCTCCTGCATTCTTATTGAATGCTATTGGCAGACATGAACTAGTTCGCCTGATGGGCATGAAGGGAAAATCAGAGGCTGTCTGAAACTGTACTGTAGTGCACGTGGCCAAAGGTTCAGAGACTGCAGGAAACAGGAGGGAAGGCAGAGGAGTTGGAGGCCAGCCAGGAGCAAGCTGGGAACAGCCAGGCCATGCTGCTCCTTAGTTACTGCGGGCTTTGTCCTGCCAGATGTCCTCAGCATCTCCTTGGTTTTTGGCCTGAGGAATTTGACTATTCATCCTGAAGTTGTCTTACATGCTCTTCACATTCACAAATACTCTTCAGAGGCCAAATCCATTTTTATATAAATGGGGATATAGCCTGGTCCTAAATAGACTTAGGTTTATTCCAACTTTGTTATTTACTAGCTGAGTGAACTTATGTAATTTATTTGGATTCTCTGATCTTCAGTGTGGGAATAATTTACTTAATAAATCTTTTTTTTTTGTTTTTGAGATGGAGTCGCCCTCTGCAACCTCTGCCTCCCAGGGTCAGGCAATTCTTGTGCTTCAGCTTCCAGAGTAGCTGGGACTACGAACACATGCCACCATGCCTGGCTACTTTTTGTATTTTTAGTAGAGACGGAGGTTTCACCATGTTGACCAGGCTGGTTTCCACCTCCTGACCTTAGGTGATCCGCCTTCTTCAGCTTCCCAGAGCGCTAGGATTACAGGCATGAGCCACCATGCCTGGCCAATAAATCTTTATTCTTGTATGCCTATTATGTGACAGACTCAGACTTGGGTGTTGAGAATACAGAATTAAATCGGGTAAGGGAGGCCCTGCTGTCACGGAGCTTGCTTTTTTTTTTTTCTTTTTTTTTGAGACAGGGTATTGCCCTGTTGCTCAGGCTGGTCTCCAACTCCTGGGCTCAAGTGATCCTCCCCACCTTGGCCTCCCAAAGTGCTAGGATTATAGGCATGAGCCACTGTGCCCAGCCTGTCATGGAGCTTTATTCAAGTAGAGATGAGAGAGAAATAAATAGACAAGACAATATGGGATATTTATAAATTCTAGGAAGACAGTAAAACAAGCTGATGTGAAAGACAATGACTGGGTGGAGGCATTGTTAGATGACAAGAAAAGCCTCTCTGAGAATTTGATATTTGAGCTGAGACAGAAGTAAGGAAGACAAAAAGCAACTAGCCCTCTAAGGATCAGGGTGTGGAGCATTCCAATGAGAGGGAAGGGGAGTTTCAAAAGCCATAAGGCAGAGGAGAGAGTTTGGAATGTCAACAGAACCTAACAAAGATCTAGAATGGAGTGAAGTGGAGAGGGATCTGGGAAGATGTGGGAGAGGTAGGCAGGACTGAGGAAGTGGAGGAGGAGGTGGGAGATTTGCAGAGAGAGAGAATGTGTGAAAAAGTTGCTTTGGAGAATGGAGGAAAGAATGTATTGGGGAAGTGTAGTGGGACTGCTTGGCAGCGTTGACAGTCCTTTTGAGAGGTGTGGTCCTGAATTTAAACTAGAACTAATTGGCATAGTAGATGTTCTGAGGATTAGGTAAAATGAACGGGAGGTTTGGATTCATAGCTGATGCTCAAAAATGTTAACTATCACAAGATGTAGAAAATATTAGAATGAAGGAGAGGAAACCAACCCATTTATTTTTGCTACCATTTGCAACTCAGGAAAGGTAGATAACACGCTATGTGTTCTGATCTTAGATTTAAGACTAACTTTTTCTTCTAAAGTGAGATTTTTGCTTCTGGATTTTTATTTTATTTTATTGATTTTTTTTTACAGAATCTTGCTCTGTCACCCAGGCTGGAGTGCAGTGGTGCAATCTCAGCTCACTGCAACCTCCGCCTCCTGGGTTCAAGCAATTCTCATGCCTCAGCCTCCCAAGTAGTTGGGACCACAGGCACGCGCCGCCACACCCAGCTTATTTATTTATTTATTTATTTATTTATTTATTTATTTATTTATTTTTGAGACAGAGTCTTACTCTGTCACCCAGGCTGGAGCGCTGGAGTGCAATGGCGCGATCTCGGCTCACTGCAACCTCCACTCACTTGAACCTCCTGGGTTCAAGCAATTTTCCTGCCTCAGCCTCCTGAGTAGCTGGGATTACAGGCACGTGCCACCACACCTGGGTAATTTTTGTATTTTTAGTAGAGACGGGGTTCCACCATGTTAGCCAGGCTTGTCTCAAACTCCTGACCTTGTGATCCACCCGCCTTGGCCTCCCAAAGTGCTGGGATTACAGGCATGAACCACCGCGCCCGGCCTAATTTTTTGTTGTTGTTGTTTGTTTCTGAAGACAGAGTCTTGCTCTGTCGCCCAGGCTGGAGTGCAGTGGTGTGATCTCGGCTCACTGCAACCTCCACCACCCGGATTCAAGTGATTCTCCTGCCTCAGCCTCCCGAGTAGATGAAACTACAGGCGCGTGCCACCATGCCCGGCTAATTTTTTTATTTTTAGTAGAGACGGGGTTTCACCATATTGGTCATGCTGGTCTCGAACTCCTGACCTCGTAATCCACCCGCCTCGGCTTCCCAAAGTGCTGGGATTACAGGCATAAGCCACTGTACCTGGCCTTAATTTTTGTTTTTTTGTTTGTTTGTTTGTTTGTTTTTGAGACAGAGTCTCGCTGTCGCCCAGGCTGGAGTGCAGTGGCGCAATCTCGGCTCACTGCAAGCTCCGCCTCCCGGGTTCACGCCAGTCTCCTGCCTCAGCCTCCCAAGTAGCTGGGACTACAGGCGCCTGCCACCACGCCCGGCTATTTTTTGTATTTTTAGTAGAGACAGGGTTTCACCATGTTAGCCAGGATGATCTCGATCTCCTGACCTCGTGATCTGCCCACCTCGGCCTCCCAAAGTGCTGGGATTACAGGCGTGAGCCACCGCGCCTGGCCGTAATTTTTGTATTTTTAGTAGAGACAGGTTTTTGTCATGTTGGCCAGGCTGGTCTTGAACTCCTGGCCTCAAGCAGTCCACCCACTTCAGCCTCCCAAAATGCTGGGACTACAGGGGTGAGCCACCGCACCCTGCCTGCTTCTGGATATTTTTAACCTGGGTGTTTTTACATACTTAATGCAAAATGCTATGATTTTTGTTCTTGTGGTCTTAATAAACGGGAAGTGAGTATCTTTTTTTTTTCTTTTTTTTTGAAATAGGATCTCTCTATGTCACCCAGGCTGGAGTGCAGTGTTGTAACCTTGGCTCACGACAACCTCAAAGTCCTAATCTCAAGAGATCCTCCCACTTCAGCCTCCTGAGTAGTTGGGACTACAGTCGTGCACCACCATGCCTGCTAATTTTTTATATATATTTTTTGAGACAGACTCTTGCTTTGTCTCCCAAGCTAGAGTGCAGTGGCACAATCTCAGCTCACTGCAACTTCCGCCTCCCGTGTTCAAGCAATTCTCCTACCTCAGCATCCCGAGAAGCTGGGACTACTGGCGCCCGCTACCACGCCAAGCTAAATTTTGTATTTTTAGTAGAGACAGGGTTTCACCATATTGGCCAGGCTGGTCTCGAACTCCTGACCTTGTGATCCACCCGCCTCGGCCTCCCAAAATGGTGGGATTACAGGCGTGAGCCACCGTGCCCGGCCTTAATTTTTTATAATTTTTGTAGAGACAAGGCATTACTTTGTTGCCCAGGCTGGCCTTGAATTCCTGAGCTCAAGGAATCCTCCCACCTCAGCCTCCCAAAGTACTGGGATTACAGGCATGAGCCACTGCACCCAGCTTGGAAGTGAATTTCTTTGATCAGTCCTTTGTAGAACTAGTTCCTTGTATTCCAAATACAGGAACTTGTTTCATTTTAGTATATACACGAAATGTGCTTCTCTAGCTTTTTCAGTGCTCAGACAAAATAAAGATGTCTGCTGGTAAACTTCTAAGATGTTTTAAAATGTTAATTCACAACATTTGGTACCTGGGAACAACTCTGCAGCCTAGGATATCACATCTATTACAACTTTAAATATAATCTCCTTCACAATGCAGTAATGGAAAAAATCACACCTGAGATTTCCTGTAATTTCATCTCACTGATGAGATCTTTTTAGACAAACCCCTTTTTGAACCTCCTTAAGGTTTAATAGTTGTGATATCAGAAAAGCACTTCTTATGGAGCAGAAAAGCAGAATGAATGAGAGTTGAACAGAACAGGATCTGGAGAAAGGCTTAAGGATAGGATGTTTTATCACTGGGGACCTGGGGAAGAGGGGCTGGGAGACAGCTAGGTGCTGAGAGGTGAGAATGACAACTGGTTGGCAGGAGGCTAGTGAGGAGTTCAGCAAGGGATAAGTGGGTACACCAACCAGAGGGCAACAGGCAATGGCGAGGAACCCGAGAGCAAGCAATGTGTGGGATTCTAGGCACAGAGTCTGACAGCAGCGCTTAGACAGTTCCAAAGGTTGAGATGAATAAGGAAGGCCCCCACTGGGCATGGCGGCTTACGCCTGTAATTCCTAGCACTTTGGGAGGCCGAGGCGGGTACATCACCTGAGGCCAGGAGTTCAAGACCAGCCTGACCAACATGGTGAAACCCTGTGTCTACTAAAAATACAAAAATTAGCCGCACGTGGTGGTGCACGCCAGTAATCCTGGCTACTCAGGAGGCTAAGGCACAAGAATTGCTTGAACTCAGGAGGCAGAGGTTGCAGTGAGCTGAGATTGTGCCACTGCATTCCAGCCTGAGTGACAAAGGGAGACTCAGTCTCAAAAAAAAAAAGGTAGGCCCCCAATTTCAGAGTCTCTGATAGCCCCACCTCTGTGTTCTGCAAACTCTTCCCCTAGGTGGTATTGCCTCTCAGAGGCACCATCCACTCCAAAATTCTTGCTTCCTCACAAAAACCTCCTTTCCATCTCCCCCACCTCCACCCCACATAATATTTATAAATCGGAGAAAAAGGTTCTGACGTTGTAGCAAATGCTGCTGTCCCCTGTTGTATCCGCCCAGCACTCGCTGTTTCTATATATGCTGACAGCTTCTTCCTGCAAGTGTCTGGGACTCTCTGCCTGGGAGTTTTCCCTGATCACTGGAGCAGGCTTGACTCATGAGCAGGGCAGACCAGAAAAGCCAGGGTTTTCACGTCCCCAGGAGCGACTGCCAAACAATGATTGACTGGAGTTGGTGTATATTATTAATATATGCATTTCAGTTGCCTATTGCTGGTAACAAACCACTCCAAAATCCTGTGGCTTAAGACACCAACGATTTGTTATTTCTCATGATTCTGTGGGTGGGCTGGGTGGTTCCCCTTTGGTCTTGTCTTGGCTCACTCATGGAGCTGCTGCATTCAACTGCAGAGTGGCTATGCTGAGAGGTCCAAGCTGGTATTGCTCGCATGTCTTGCAGTTGACGCTGGCTGTTGGCTTGGGACTCTTTTTTTTTCAGCGGAGTCTCGCTCTGTTGCCCAGGCTGGAGTGCAGTGGCACAATCTCAGCTCACAGCAACCTCTAACTCCAGGGTTCAAATGATTCTCCTGCCTCAGCCTCCCAAGTAGCTGGGATTATAGACACATGCCATCACACCCAGCTAATTTTTGTATTTTTAGTAGAGATGGGGTTTTACCATGTTGGCCAGGCTGATCTTGAACTCCTGGCCTCAAGTGATCCTCCCGCCTTGGCCTCCCAAAGTGCTGGGATTACAGGCGTGAGCCACCACACCCGGCCCACTTTGGTATTCCTCCACATTGCCTTTTATCCTTTACGAGGCTAGTCCTGCTTCCTCATGTGGCGATCTGCACATTATCCTTATGTGGAGGCTGCAAGGCATCTCAAGGCCCAGGCTCTAAAGCTGTTACAATATCACTTCTGCCATTTTTACTGGTCAGAGCAAGTCACAAGATCATCCTGGAGACTACTTCCATTAACTCACCTCTATTAATTTTGTTTAGATATTGTCACTGGCTACCACCTTGAAGAGTCAGTAACATAATGGACTTAATGTGGGATACAAGTAGATCAGAGTGGAACAAGGTATATTGTACCCTGCACACCTTCCCTTGGCATAGGACTCCTTACTCTCATGCCTTTTTCCTGCCAGCACCTATAATCCTTTGCCTGGTGGCTTTCTGTGGCCATAAGTACTTTTTTTTTTTTTTTGAGACAGAGTTTTACTGTTGTTGCCCAGGCTGGAGTGCAATGGCACAATCTCGGTTCACCACAACCTCCGCCTCCTGTGATTCTCCTGCCTCAGTCTACTGAGTAGCTGGGATTACAGGCATGGGCCACCCATGGCCGGCTGATTTTCCTTTTTTGTAGAGATGGGGTTTCTCCATGTTGGTCAGGCTGGTCTCCAACTCCCAACCTCAGGTGATCCACCCGCCTCAGCCTCCCAAAGTGTTGGGATTACAGGCATGAGCCACTGAACCCAGCCGGCCATAGGTACATATTTAGCCCACACTTGAGGCAGACTGCAATCACCATGATGTTAATGTACTCAGAAGGAACTTTCCACCAATAGCTAAAAGGAGTTGGTGTATAGTAAATACCCCAACTTATTTATTTATTTATTTTTTGAGACAATGTCTCACTCTGTCCCCCAGTGTAGAGTGCAGTGGCACAATATCAGTTCACTGCAACCTCTGCGTCCTGGGTTCAAGCAATTCTCCTGCCTCAGCCTCCTGAGTAGCTGGGATTACAGGCGCCTGCCACCATGCCCGGCTAATTTTTAGTAGAAATGGGGTTTCACCATGTTGGTCAGGTTGGTCTCAAACTCCTGACCTCGTGATTCACCTGCCTCGGCCTCCCAAAGTGCTGAGATTATAGGCGTGAGCCACCACACCCGGCCAGAAAGATATCTGGCCAGTACCCCTCAAAACTGTGAAGGTCATCAAAAACAAAGAAAGTCTGAGAAACTGTGACAGTCAAAAAGAGCCCAAGGAGGCGTGCCAACTATATGGAATGCAATATTCTGAATGGGATCCTGCAACACAAAAAAGACATTAGGTAAAATCTAAGGAAATTTGAATAAAGTATGGCCTTTAGTTAATCACAATGTGGTTAATTCATTGCGACAGATACACCATACTAATATAAGATGTTAATATGGGGGGACTGAATGTGGCATATGGGAACTCTCTGAACTATCTGCACAATTGTTCTGAATATCTAAAACTGTTTTATATATGTATGTTATATATACATATATACATATACATACATTTATTATATATATATATATATATATATATATATATAAAGGATATATATCCTTTTTTTTGTCCCAAGAGATGGGTCTCACTATATTGCTCAGGCTAGACTCAAACTCCTGGGCTTAAGTGATCCTCACACCTCAACCTCCCAAGTAGCTCAGCCTCATCACCACACCCAGCCTTAAAGTTTTTTTAAAAAGAGAGAAAAATGGCTCCCTGTGTTCATACTTCTTTATAATATATCTTGCCCTCCTCTCATCAAAAGAGAATCTGTTTTTCTCGCTGCTTAAATATAAGCTGGCCTTGTGAATTGGTTTAGCCAACAGAACATGGTGGAATTGATGTTCTGAGACTCCTACGTCCAGGTCTTAAAAGGCTCTATAGCTTCCAGTTTCATTCTTGGAAGCCTGCTGCTATGTAAGAAGTCCAGCTAACCTAAGATCGCCATGCTGTGAGGAAGTCCAAGCAAGCCAGAGGCAGAGGCCATGGGGAAGCGAGGCACCCCAGCATGTAGCTGAATGCAGTTGTCTGAGTGACTCCAGACAAGACAAGAACCACCTAGGCAACCTACAGAACCATAAGAACTAATAAAGTTTTGGGGGTAGCCTGTCATACAGCAATACTTCACTGAAACATTTAGGGAGGAACTTTATTCTGGGAGTTAAAAAGCCTAAGTTCAAGCCCCAGAGTAGCTATTAGACCTTGGTGGGTCGGTGGGGGAGGAATGAAAAAAATACTAATCACTAATGTGGAGGCTTGTTATGAGGACTGCATGTGATAAGGCAAATGAAAATGTTTTGTAAACTTCCAAATGTCACACAAATTTAAGAGACATTATGGCTGGGCATGGTGGCTCACGCCTTTAATGCTAACACTTTGGGAGGCCTTCATCTTAGACTTCCCAGCCTCCAGAACCGTGAGCAATACATTTCTTTTCTTTTTTTTTTTTTTTTTTTGAGACGGACTTTCACTTTTGTTGCCCAGGCTGGAGTGCAATGGCGTGATCTCAGCTCACTGCAACCTCTGCCTTCGGGTTCAAACGATTCTCCTGCCTCAGCCTCCCAAGTAGCTGGAATTACAGACATGTGTCACCACGCCCAGCTAATTCTGTGTTTTTAGTAGAGATGGGATTTCTCCATGTTGGTCAGCCTGGTCTCGAACTCCTGACCTCAGGCGATCCGCCCACCTCTGCCTCTCAAAGTGCTGGGATTACAGGCGTGAGCCACCGTGCCCAGCCTACATTTCTATTATTATTATTATTATCATCATCATCATCATCATCATCATTATTTGAGACAGGTTCTCTGTTACTCAGGCTGGAGTGCAGTGGTGCTATCTCAGCTTACTGCAACCTCCGCTTCCTGGGCTCAAGCCACCTTCTGGAGTAACTGGGACTACAGACACACGCGGCACCACGCCCAGTTAATCTTTTGTATTTTTTTGTGGAGATAGGGTTTTTCCATGTTGCCTGAAATTAATAGAAATAGTAATTTCTATTATTTGTAAATTACCCAGTTGATGGTATTTTATTATAGCAGCAGGAACAGACTAAGACAGAGAAAGGTCAACCCTGAGGAGGCTGAATTTTATGCCCTCTGTGAGTCTAAGGGTTGGAGCCACAGCTCAGCCCTTATCAAGTATATCTCATCTGTCAGGCTGGCCTTCAGAATTCCTGGGAGATAAACCGGCGCACATTTTGGGGGCCAAGAGCCCCTCCCGTGCAAATCCATAGTGAAAGGCTACTCTTGTGTCTTTGCTTCAAACTGTGGGTAACACAGTACCCACCAGGAAGCAGGGCTCAGCCTAGGAAAAGCATCAGGTGGCTCACTCAGCTTTTCCCTCCAGCTTGTGTCTGTGAGTGGTGTGGTGATCAAATCTAATGACACATCAAAGAAAGCCAGAAAAAAAAATGAATGCTTGTTATAATGGTAGCTACTGTTCTAGGCAGTGTTTCTCTTTCTCTTTCTCTCTCTCTCAACCTTTCCTTATTAAAAGTTCCAAATATAGGCCAGGCGCGGTGGCTCATGCCTATAATGCCAGCACTTTGGGAGGTCAAGGCAGATGGATCACGAGGTCAGCTGTTCGAGACCAGCCTGGCTAACATGATGAAATCCTATCTCTACTAAAAATAACAAAAATTAGCCGGGAATGGTGGTGCACGCCTGTAATCTCAGCTACTCAGGAGGCTGAGGCAGGAGAATCACCTGAACCCGGGAGGTGGAGGTTGCAGTGGGCCGAGACTGTACCACTGCACTCCAGCCTGGACAACAGAGTGAGACTCCGTCTCAAAAAAAAAAAAAAAAAAAATTCCCAACTACATACAGAAGTATAAAAAGTAGTATAATGGGCCAAGCATGGTGGCTCACGTCTCTAATCCCACCACTTTGGGAGGTCAAGGCAGGTGGATCACCTGAGGTCAGGAGTTCAAGACCAGCCTGGCCAACCCATCTCTACTAAAAATACAAAAATTAGCCAGGTGTGGTGGCATGCGCCTGTAGTCCTAGCTACTCGGGAGGCTGAAGCAGGAGAATTGCTTGAACCTGGGAGGTGGAAGTTGCAGTGAGCTGAGATTGCACCACCACACTCCAGCCTGGGCAAAAGGGCGAGACTCCATCTCAAAAAAAAAAAAAAAAAAAAAAAAGTATAATGACTTCCCATATATCATTACCCAGTTTCTTTTTTTTTTAATTAAAAAGTAAACTTTAATGTCAAAAATGCAAACTTGGGGAAGGCAGAAAGATCACACACAAGGCTGTCACTTCACACTTGGAGGGCATTACCCAGTTTCAACAAGTATTCATATATTCATGACCACCCTGATTTTATTTTTATCTCTGCCCTCTCCTGCCCCCTCTATATTATATATATGTATGTATGTGTGTGTGTGCGTATATATATATATATATATTTTTTTTTTTAGATGGAGTCTCACTCCGTTGCCCAGGGTGGAGTACAGTGGTTCAATCTCAGCTCACTGCAGCCTCCACCTCCTAGGCTCAGGTGATTCTCTGCCTCAGCCTCTCAAGTAGCTGGGATTACAGGCGCACGCCCAGCTAATTTTGTATTTTTAGTAGAGATGGGGTTCACCATGTTGGCCAGGCTGGTCTCAAATTCCTGACCTCAGGTGATCTGCCCGTCTCAGCCTCCCAGACTGCTGGGATTACAGGAGTGAGCCACCATGCCTGGCCCCCCTCCATATTATATTGAAGCAAATTCCAGATAATCATCATTTTACCCAGAAATAATATTTCAGTATGTATCTCCAAAAGATAAGGACTCTTACAACATAACCACAATGTCGTTAACATATCTTTTAAAACTAACAATAATTCCTTAATCTCATCAAATAGCCAGTCAGTATTCAAATTTTCCTAATGTGTATTTATATAGATATATATATATATACTATATATATGTGTGTATGTGTGTATATAAATTCATCACTTCTCTTAACCATTTTTTGAACCCATCCTTACCCTTTTACATCTCTGTGCTTTTCAATTTGTCATCCCTTCTGCCTAGATTGTCCTTCCGTTCATGCCTAACTGACAAGACACAGCCTTCCAGATCTGTTCAAGTATCACCTCCTCCAGGAATCTTTCCCTGGCAAAACTCAGGAGTTACTCATTCCTACAGCACTAGCACTCTGCACTCTGCGCTGGGTATTTGTGTATATGTTTATCTGTTCTCCAGATTGTGAGCTCCTTGGAGACTTGAGCCATATTCTTGTGGCCTTTGAGAACCCCAGGTACCTAGCATGGTGCCTGGCCCACACTATTTGCTTCAAGCCAACATATTATTTCTAAGGAGGGGCTCCCACGGCCTCTTATGTTGTTCTTGGTGTTGATTTATCCTTTTCTAAAATTCAATGTCTTTTGCAAAGATAATGTCGTCTCCACTTTTCCTATTTGAGCTGGGAGTTGACCCAATGTTTTCAATCTGAAAGCTTTTAGAAGCCACTGGAGGCAGAATTAATTGGTTCAGAGGTGGTGTTTTTGTTGTTGTTTTTTTCTTTTTTAAGATCCCAGGATTGATATAAAGCAGAAAGACTGAGAAAGAGAAAGCCACTTTGTCAGTCAGCAGTCACTCTGGTATTAATGTAGTAAGAGCTGTCCAGAATTTAAAAGAAAAAAAAAATTGTCCTTATCCTCTAATTGAATACAATCCACAAACCTTCTGGTTCTCTGAGGAGGACCTTGGAATGTGCTTGCAGTTTCCAAACTTTAATTAATAACAGTTTAAATCATAGTTTTCAAGTGTTTCTTTTACATCAGAACCCCTTCCTCAGTTTTATCTGCCTGGAAAATCTGTTACACAGATAAAAGCTCTGGTGGGGCCAGTGGCACATGCCTGTAGTCTCTGCTATTTTTTTTTTTTTTTTTTTGAGGCAGAGTCTTGCTCTGTCATCCAGGCTGGAGTGCAGTTGCGCCATCTTGGCTCACTGCAACCACCACCTCCCAGGTTCAAGCGATTCTCCTGCCTCAGCCTCCTGAGTAGCTGGGATTACCAGCATGAGCCACCACACCTGACAAATGTTTGTGTGTTTGGTAGAGATGGGGTTTCACCATGCTGGCCAGGCTGGTCTCGAACTCCTGACCTCAGGTGATTCGCCCACCTTGGCCTCCCAAAGTGCTGGGATTACAGGTCTGAGCCACCACGCCTGGCCTAGTCTCTGCTATTTCACAGGCTAAGGTGGGAGGATTGCTTGAGCCCAGGAGTTCAAGTTTGAGGCTATAGTGCACTCTGTTTGTGCCTGTCAATAACCATTGTACTCCATCCTAGGCAACATAGCCAGACTGTGGTGGAAAGGTGGTAGACAGGTCCCTGGGACTCAGTTTTATTGGACTGTCTGACACAGATCCCAGAGCAGTTGCTCGATCATTCATCAGTCTCTCAATTTTCCTCCATACAACGATTTTTAGAGTGCCTGCTGTGTGGCGTTGGAGGGACTGTACTGAACAAGACAGATGACTTCAATTTTCTTGGAGTTTACATTCTAGGGCAGTCATGAGAGAGAGAAGAAATAATCACTGTAAACCACTGCTATGGTTTGAATGTGTCCTCCAGAAGTTCATGTGTTGAAAACTTAATTATTATTGTAACAATATTAAGAGGTAGGGCCTTTCAGAGGTGATTATCAGGTGAGGAGTGCTCTCCCCTCATGCATGAATTAATGCTATTATTGAGGAAGCGGGTTACTTATCATGGGAGTGGACTCTTGATAAAAAGGAAAAGTGTGGCCCAATTTCTGCACTGTCCGTTTCACATGTTCACTTGCCCTTCTGCCTTCTGCCATGGGGTGACCCTCTTCAAATGTCAGTGCCATGCTTTTAGACTTCCCAGTCTCTAGAACTGAGCCACGTAAACATCTATTTTTTATAAATTACCCAGTCTGTGGTATTCTGATGTCACAGCAGCAAATGGACTAAGAGTGGCTCATGGCTGTAATCCTAGCACTTGGGGAGGCCGAGGTGGGCGGATCACAAGGTCAGGAGATTGAAACCAGCCATGGCCAATATGGTGAAACCCCATCTCTACTAAAAATACAAAAATTAGGCTGGGCACAGTGGCTCACGCCTGTAATCCCAGCACTTTGGGAAGCCGAGGTGGGCAGATCACGAGGTCAGGAGATCGAGACCATCCTGGCTAACACAGTGAAACCCCGTCTCTACTAAAAATACAAAAAAATTAGCTGGGCATGGTGGTGGCTACCATGTAGTTCCAGCTACTCGGGAGGCTGAGGCAGGAGAATGGCGTGAACCCGGGAGGCGGAGCTTCAGTAAGCTGGGATTGTGCCACTACACTCCAGCCTGGGTGACAGAGTGAGACTCTGTCCCCCCCAAAAAATAAAATTAGCTGGGCGTGGTGGTGTGTGCCTATAATCCCAGCCACTCGGGAGACTGAGGCAGAATAGCTTGAATCCAGGAGGCAGAGGTTGCGGGGAGAGAGATCGCGCCACTGCACTCCAGCGTGGGTGACCGAGTAAGACTCCGTCTCAAAAAAAAAAGGAAAAAAAAGAAAAGAAAAATAAAATGGACTAAGAGTGCCAGTGGCTGCCAAACTTTAATTTTCATCAACATCATGTGGAGAATTTGTTACACACAGATCTTTGGATCCCATGTTCACAATTTCTGATTCAATAGGTCTAGAGTAGGGCCTGAGAATATGCAGTTAGAACAAGTTCCCAGGTGATGCTAATACTGCTGGTCCCAGGACCACACATTGAGAGCTACTAAGGTAAACAATCAAGTAAGTAAAATATCTTCAGACACAGGTAAGTGCTATGCTTTCAGAAAATCAAATAGGGTAACAGAATAGGAAGTGATCTGGTGGTGGATAGCTACTTTAGGTCGGGTAGCCAGGGAAAGACTCTCTGAGGCGACATTTGATCTGAGCAGGCCACCTAAAAATCTGAGGGAAGGGCATTCTATGAAAAGGACATAGCAAGTGGCCGGGTGCGGTGGCTCACGCCTGTAATCTCAACCCTTTGGGAGGCTGAGGCAGGCAGATCCCCTGAGGCCAGGAGTTCGAGACTAGCCTGGCTAACATGGCAAAACCCCATCTCTACTAAAAATACAAAAATTAGCTGGGCGTGGTGGTGCACACCTGTAGTCCCAGCTACTCAGGAGGCCGAGGCAGGAGAATCGCTTAAACCCAGGAGGCAGAGATTGCAGTGAGCTGAGATCATGCCACTGCACTCCAGCCTGAATGACAGAGCGAGACTCTGTCTCAGGAAAAAAAAAAAAAAGAAAGAAAGAAAGAAAAAAGACTGGGTGCAGTAGCTCACACCTGTAATCCCAGCACTTTGGGAGGCCAAGGCAGGCAGATCACAAGGTCAGGAGTTCCAGACCAGCCTGGCCAACATAGTGAAACCCCATCTCTACTAAAAACACAAAAAATTAGCTGGGCGTGGTGGCGGGTGCCTGTAATCCCAGCTACTCAGGAGGCTGAGGCAGGAGAATTGCTTGAACCTGGGAGGCAGAGGTTGCAGTGAGCTGAGATCTCATCACTGTACTTCAGCCCGGGCAACAGTGTGAGACTCCATCTCAAAAAAAAAAAAAAAAAAAAAAAAAGGAAAGGACATAGCAAGTGCAAAAGCCGTAAGCAGAAAACAAGCACAGCATATTTAAGAAACAAAATAAGACATTCAAAGTGCCAGGACAGCTGCAGAGGCTTTGTTTTGTTTTGTTTTTGAGATGGAGTTTCGCTCTTGTTGCCCAGGCTGAAGTACAATGGTACAATCTCGGCTCACTGCAACCTCTACCTCCCGGGTTCAAGCAATTCTCCTGCCTCAGCCTCCTAAGTAGCTGGGATTACAGGCATGTACCACCATACCTAGCTAATTTTGTATTTTTAGTAGAGATGGGGTTTCACCACATTGGTCAGGCTGTTCTCGAACATCTGACCTCAGGTGATCCATCCGCCTTGGCCTCCCAAAGTGCTGGGATTACAGGCATGAGCCACTGCGCCCAGCCCCGTATTCTGAAGAGCAAAGGGTAACACAAGATTGTCATAGAAAAAGAAAAGGGCCAGGTACGTGGCTGACACCTGTAATCCTAGCAATTTGGGAGGCCAAGGGAGGAGAGTTGCTTGAAGCCAGGAGTTTGAAGCCAGCCTGGGCAACATAGAGAGACTCCCATCTCTTTTTTTCTTTTAGATGGAGTTTCACTCTTGTTGCCCAGGCTGGAGTGCAATGGCGCGATCTCAGCTCACTGCAACCTTCAAGAGAGGCAACCCCATCTCTACAAAAGAAAAATTTAAAAATTAGCTGGGTATGATGGCACGTGCCTGTAGTCCCAGCTACTTGGGGACTGAGGCAGGAGGATCACTGGAGCCTCCTTGAGCCCAGGAGTTGGGGGCTGCAGTGAGCCATCATTGCACCACAGCACTCCAACCTGGGTGACAGAGTGAGACCCTGTCTAAAAAGAAAAAAAAAAGTAGAAAGAAATCTGATCGTGGAAAATCTTGTAGGCCACTGTAAAAATTGAGCTTTTTATTTATTTATTTGTTTGTTTATTTATTTATTTATTTTTATTGATTATTCTTGGGTGTTTCTCACAGAGGGGGATTTGGCACGGTCATAGGACAATAGTGGAGGGAAGGTCAGCAGATAAACAAGTGAACAAAGGTCTCTGGTTTTCCTAGGCAGAGGACCCTGCGGCCTTCCGCAGTGTTTGTGTCCCTGGGTACTTGAGATTAGGGAGTGGTGATGACCCTTAACGAGCATGCTGCCTTCAAGCATCTGTTTAACAAAGCACATCTTGCACCGCCCTTAATCCATTTAACCCTGAGTGGACACAGCACATGATTCAGAGAGCACAGGGTTGGGGGTAAGGTCACAGATCAACAGGATAAGAATTTTTCTTAGTACAGAACAAAATGAAAAGTCTCCCATGTCTACCTCTTTCTACACAGACACAGCAACCATCCGATTTCTCAATCTTTTCCCCACCTTTCCCCCCTTTCTATTCCACAAAACCGCCATTGTCATCATGGCCCGTTCTCAATGAGCTGTTGGGTACACCTCCCAGACGGGGCGGCTGGCCGGGCAGAGGGGCTCCTCACTTCCCAGTAGGGGCGGCCGGGCAGAGGCGCCCCTCACCTCCCAGACGGGGTGGCTGGCCGGGCGGGGGGCTGACCCCCCCACCTCCCTCCCAGACGGGGCGGCTGGCCGGGCAGGGGGCTGACCCCCCCACCTCCCTCCCGGACGGGGCGGCTGGCCGGGCAGGGGGCTGATCCCCCCACCTCCCTCCTGGATGGGGCGGCTGGCCGGGCGGGGGGCTGACCCCCCCACCTCCCTCCCGGACGGGGCGGCTGGCCGGGCAGAGGGGCTCCTCACTTCCCAGTAGGGGCGGCCGGGCAGAGGCGCCCCTCACCTCCCGGACGGGGCGGCTGGCCGGGCGGGGGGCTGACCCCCCCACCTCCCTCCCGGACGGGGCGGCTGGCCTGGCGGGGGCTGACCCCCACCTCCCTCCCGGACGGGGTGGCTGCTGGGCGGAGACGCTCCTCACTTCCCAGACGGGGTGACTGCCGGGCGGAGGGGCTCCTCACTTCTCAGACGGGCGGTTGCCAGGCGGAGGGTCTCCTCACTTCTCAGATGGGGCAGCCGGGCAGAGACGCTCCTCACCTCCCAGACGGGGTCGCGGCCGGGTAGAGGCGCTCGTCACTTCCTAGATGGGATGGCGGCCGGGCAGAGACGCTCCTCACCTCCCAGACGGGGTTGCGGCCGGGTAGAGGCGCTCCTCACATCCCAGGCGGGGCAGCGGGGCAGAGGCTCTCCCCGCATCTCAGACGATGGGCGGCCGGGCAGAGACGCTCCTCACTTCCTAGATGGGATGGCGACCGGGAAGAGGCGCTCGTCACTTCCTAGATGGGATGGCGGCCGGGCAGAGATGCTCCTCACTTTCCAGACTGAGCAGCCAGGCAGAGGGGCTCCTCACGTTCCAGACGATGGGCGGCCAGGCAGAGACGCTCCTCACTTCCCAGACGGGGTGGCAGCCGGGCAGAGGCTGCAATCTCGGCACTTTAGGAGGCCAAGGCAGGCGGCTGGGAGGTGGAGGTTGTAGGGAGCCGAGATCACGCCACTGCACTCCAGCCTGGGCACCATTGAGCACTGAGTGAACCAGACTCCGTCTGCAATCCCGGCACCCCGGGAGGCCGAGGCTGGCGGATCACTCGCGGTTAGGAGCTGGAGACCAGCCCGGCCAACACAGCGAAACCCCGTCTCCACCAAAAAAATACGAAAACCAGTCAGGCGTGGCGGCGCGCGCCTGCAATTGCACGCACTCGGCAGGCTGAGGCAGGAGAATCAGGCAGGGAGGTTGCAGTGAGCCGAGATGGCAGCAGTACAGTCCAGCTTCGGCTCGGCATGGGAGAGGTAGAGGTAGAGGTAGCGGTAGCGGTAGACGTAGACTAGAGGTAGGGGTAGGGGTAGGGGTAGGGGTAGGGGTAGGGGTAGAGGTAGAGGTAGAGGTAGAGGTAGAATTGAGCTTTTACGGTACAATGTAAGACCACTGGAGGGTTTTAAGCAGGGCACACATATGACCTTATTTTACATTTTATTTATTTATTATTAATTTATTTTTGAGGCAAGGTCTTGCTCTGTTGCCCAGGCTGGAGTAGGGTGGCATAATCACAGCTCACTGTAGCCTCTACCTCCTGGGCTCAAGTGATCCTCCCACCACAGCCTCCTGAGTGTCTGGGACTACAGGCACATGCCACCATGCCTGGCTAATTTTTTGTATTTTTTTGTAGAGACAGGGTCTCGCCATGTTGCCCAGGCTGGTCTTGAACTCCTGGGCTCAAGCAATCCTCCTGCCGTGGCCTCCCAAAATGCTCAGATTACAGGCATGAACCATTGTGTTCTTATTTTACTTTTTTTTTTTTTTTTGAAACGGAGTCTTGCTCTGTTGCCCAGGCTGGAGTTCAGTGGCCCGATCTCAGCTCACTGCAACCTCTACTTCCGGGTTCAAGTGATTCTCCTGCCTCAACCTCCTGAGTAGCTGGGATTACAGGCCCCCCCACCCCAACTGGCCAAGTTTTGTATTTTTTGCAGAGATGGGATTTCGCCATGTTGGCCAGGCTGATTTCCAACTCCTGACCTCAAGTGATCCGCCCGCCTCGGCCTTCCAAAGTGCTGAGATTACAGGCATGAGCCACTACACCCGGCTTTATTTTACATTTTAAATATGAATTATTTGCTATAAAATATCTTTCTGGCTATTGTGTGGAGAGTGTACCATGGAGGATGGTGGTGTTGAGGGTGGCAGGGTGTATGTGAAAGCAACCAGAGAAACTGAGAGACCAGTTAGGAGGCTCTTGCAGTATCCTGGGCAAGATTTGATGAGGGGAGGGGAAGTAGCAATGGACATGGTGAGAAATGGTCGGTTCCGCAGCAGTGAGGGCTTGCTAATGAGAACAACATTTAGCATAACATCTTGCACATTGTAGGTATTCAGCTAACAGTCATTGAATGAATGAATGAATGAATGAAGCCCCCTTCCTTTCTGAAATGCATGATTATAATCCTTCACTTTACTGATAAAGTGAAGAATATCGTCAATTATTCTCCAAACTGGATTCCATTGTCTCGTTGGTAACAGTGGTTTTGTATAGGTGTGGGTGGGTGGGTGTGCCTGTGTTACTTGAATTTTTTGGGATATAATATTCCCCTCCACCCTCTAGCTCACTTATTAAATATTTCACTCCTACCCTTTCCCTTTTTTTCCAGATACAATGCAGGTTTCCAACGGCTTGCTAAGAGTTATTTTCCCTTTGTAAAGCAAATTGAGTGGGGGTGGCTCCAGAGCTCGGAAATTCTCTTGGGAGGTGGCAGGGGTTGGTTGGTCTCCAGGGGCTCTGGTTGCTGGGAGAGGTGAATTGTGAGTGCTGGGAGTGACGAGCAACTCTTCCTAGGGCACTGAGGGCTATAAGCAAGTTATTCCTTTAAGTCTATTTCAGGGAAGTGTTTTTATTATTTCCACGGTATTTCATCCCTACTGCAACCAAAGGCAATCAACATATGTGTTTAATTTGACAAGGGGAAAGGGCCACAAACAACTGTAAATTGTCAAAACTGTGGCAGATGACAGCCCTGATCTCTGCAGTAACAAAGACGAGCCAAGCAGCCTGCTTTTGCACATCAAAGGAAGCTGTCACACTGCTCAACTGACGATGCTGGTTAGGTGTGGAAGAAAATATTTCAAACACAAGTCATCTCGTGGAAGGCTAGCAAGATGTTTAGAATTCCCCTGGGGAAATAAACCATTGTTTTAGCACAAGTTTCAAAAATTAAACAATAATAAAAGCAGAAAATCTGCTTTTTTCTTTGCAGAGATGACACTGAAATCCTTCCACCAGCCAAGAGGATTCCAAGGTCGGTTTTAACTTGCTTTCCTGCCGGGGCCCTGGAGGTCTGTGGAGTGTAATGAGCCTCCTGCTGAGCCTCTTCTCAGTCTCTCTCAGCCACTGTATTTCTCCCTGCGCATTTCCTTTCTGAATACTGTTTTCTTTCTTTCTTCCTTTCTTTCACAGGGTCTTGCTCTGTTGCCCAGGCTGGAGTGTGGTGGTCCAGTACTGTGGGACCACAGGCGCATGTGCCACCACGTCCGGCTAATTTACTTTAATGTTTTTATAGAGATGGGGGTCTTACCGTGTTGCCCAGGCTGGTCTCAAACTCCTGGGCTCATGTGATCCGCCTGCCTCAGCCTCTCAAAGTGCTGGGATTACAGGAGTGAGCCACCGCGCCCGGCCTCGGAATGCCATTTTCTAGGTGATGTCTCAGGATAGGTTTCTCACTTATGTCTTTCTTTCTTTATCGCTTTCCTGCAAACCCATTTATTCTCTCTCCCCCTTGTATACGTATGCGTTATATATCTTAAATAGCACAATATAAAACTAGCCAAGTTGCACAACTGAAGTTTTTTTTTTTTTTTGAGATGGAGTCTCGCTCGCTCTGTTGCCCAGGCTGGAGTGCAGTGGTGTGATCTCGGCTCACTTCAACCTCCACCTTCCTGGTTCAAGCAATTCTCCCACCTCAGCCTCCCTAGTAGCTAGAATTAGGCGCACACCACCACGCCCAGCTAATTTTTGTTGTTGTTATTGTTGTTGTTTGAGATGGAGTCTTGCTCTGTCGCCCGGGGTGGAGTGCAGTGGCACCATCTCAGCTCACTGCAACTTCCGCCTCCCGGGTTCAAGTGATTCTCCTGTCTCAGTCTCCTGAGTAGCTGGAATTACAGGCGCACACCACCATGCCCGGCTAATTTTTGTATTTTTAGTAGAGATGGGGGTTTCACCATGTTGGTCAGGCTGGTGTCAACCTCCTGACCTCAGGTGATCCACCCACCTCGGCCTCCCAAAGTGCTGGGATTACAGGCGTGAGACACCGCGCCTGGCCTAATTTTTTGTATTTTTAGTAGAGACGGGGTTTCACCATGTTGGCCAGGATGGACTCGAACTTCTGACCTCAAGTGATCTAAGTGCTGGGATTACAGCTGTGCCCAGCCATTATGCTTTTTTTTTTTAATGGAATTTCGCTTTGTTGTCCAGGCTGGAGTGCAATGGCACAATCTCAGCTCATTGCAACCTCTGCCTCCTGGGTTCAAGCGATTCTCCTGCCTCAGTCTCCCGAGTAGCTGGGATTACAGGCGCATGCCACCACGCCCAGCTAATTTTTGTATTTTGGTAGAGACAGGGTTTCACCTTGTTGGCCAGGCCGATCTTGAACTCCTGACCTCAAGTGATCCACCTGCCTCAGCCTCCCAAAGTGCTGGGATTACAGGTATCAGGCACCACGCCTGGCCTACCCATTCTTAATAGTCCCAAAAATACACGAATCAAAATATTGAAATTATTTGTCTGGGTATTGTTTAATTTACTATGTTTTAATATATTTTTTAGTATTTATAGGTATATTTTTTTTAATTTCAAAATTTTTGACTTGGCATATCTTACAATTATTATTATTATTATTATTGAGACAGGGTCTAGCTGTTTCCCAGGCTAGAGTGCAGTGGCACAATCATGATTCACTGTAGCCCGACCTCCCAGGCTCAAATGATCCTCCCACCTCAGCCTCCCAATTAGCTGGGACCACAGATGGGTGCTACTGAGAGGTGACAGCGTGCTGGCAGTCCTCGCAGCCCTCGCTCGCTCTCGGCGCCTCCTCTGCCTGGGCTCCCACTTTGGCGGCACTTGAGGAGCCCTTCAGCCCGCCACTGCACTGTGGGAGCCCCTTTCTGGGCTGGCCAAAGCCGGAGCCAGCACCCTCAGCTTGCGGGGAGGTGTGGAGGGAGAGGCGCGGGCGGGAACCGGGGCTGTACGCGGTGCTTGCGGGCCAGCGCGAGTTCCGGGTGGGCGTGGCCCCGGCGGACCCTGCACTCAGAGCAGCCGGCCGGCTGGCCCTGCCGGCCCGAGCAATGAGAGGCTTAGCACCTGGGCCAGCAGCTGCTGTGCTCAATTTCTCACCGGGCCTTAGCTGCCTTCCCGCCGGGCAGGGCTCGGGACCTGCAGCCCACCATGCCTGAGCCTCCCCGCCACTCCGTGGGCTCCTGTGCGGCCCGAGCCTCCCCGATGAGCGCCGCCTCCTGCTCCACGGCGCCCAGTCCCATCGACCATCCAAGGGCTGAGGAGTGCAGGCACACGGCGCGGGACTGGCAGGCAGCTCCACCTGCAGCCCCCGTGGGGGATCCACTGGGTGAAGCCAGCTGGGCTCCTGGGTCTGGTGGGGACGTGGAGAACTTTTATGTCTAGCTAAGGGATTGTAAATACACCAGTCGGCACTCTGTATCTAGCTCAAGGTTTGTAAACACACCAATCAGCACCCTGTGTCTAGCTCAGAGTTTGTGAATGCACCAATCCACACTGTATCTAGTTACTCTGGTGGGGACTTGGAGAACCTTTATGTAGACATAAATCTAGCTCAGGGATTGTAAATACACCAATCGGCACTCTGTATCTAGCTCAAGGTTTGTAAACACACCAATCAGCACCCTGTGTCTAGCTCAGGGTTTGTGAATGCACCAATCCACACTCTGTATCTAGCTACTCTGGTGGGGACTTGGAGAACCTTTGTGTCCACACTCTGTATCTAGCTAATCTGGTGGGGACATGGAGAACTTTTGTGTCTAGCTCAGGGATTGTAAACGCACCAATCAGCGCCCTGTCAAAACAGACTACTTGGCTCTACCAATCAGCAGGATGTGGTGGGGCCAGATAAGAGAATAAAAGCAGGCTGCCCAAGCCAGCAGTGGCAAGTGCTTGGGCCCCCTTCCATGCTGTGGAAGCTTTGTTCTTTCTCTCTTTGCAATAAATCTTGCTGCTGCTCACTCTTTGGGTCCACACTGCCTTTATGAGCTGTAACACTCACCGCGAAAGTCTGCAGCTTCACCCCTGAAGCCAGGGAGACCACGAACCCATCCGGAGGAACGAACAACTCCAGACGCGCGGCTTTAAGTGCTGTAACACTCACTGCGAAAGTCTGCAGCTTCACTCCTGAGCCAGCGAAACCACAAACCCACCAGAAGGAAGAAACTCCGAACACATCCGAACATCAGAAGGAACAAACTGCGAACACGCCGCCTTTAAGAACTGTAACACTCACCGCGAGGGTCCACGGCTTCATTCTTGAAGTCAGTGAGACCAAGAACCCACCAATTCCGGACACACGACCACACCTGGCTAATTTTTGTATTTTTTGTGGAGACTGGGTATTGCCATCTTGCCCAGGCTAGTTTCCAACTCCTGAGCTCAAGCAATTTGCCCACCTCATCCTCTGGAAGTACTGGGATTACAGGCATAAGCCACCATGTCTGGCCTATGCCCCCCTCTCTCTATATATACATAAAAAAAAATATATATATATATATACAAACACACACATATATACACATATATATATATACACATATATATACACATATATACACACATATATATATACACACACACATATGTATATATATATATTTTTTTTTTTAAGAGACAGGTTCTCGGCCAGGTGCAGTGGCTCATGCCTGTAATCTCAGCACTTTGGGAGGCTGAGGCGGGTGGATCACCTGAGGTCAGGAGTGCGAGACCAGTCTGGCCGACATGGAGAAACCCCATCTCTACTAAAAATACAAAAAATTAGCTGGGCGTGGTGGCGGGCACCTGTGATCCCAGCTACTTGGGAGGCTGAGGCAGGACAATTGCTTGAACCTGGGAAGTGGAGGTTGCAGTGAACCGAGATCATGCCACTGCATTCCAGCTTGGGCAACAGAGCGAGACTCCATCACAAAAACAAAAACAACAACAAAAACAACCAGATTCTCGCTCTGTTGCCCAGGCTGGAGTGCAGTGGTTTGATCCTAGCTCACTGATGCCTCGAACTTCTGGTCTTAAGTGATCTTCTCACGTCAGCCTCCTGAGTAGCTGGGACCACAGGAATGTGCCGCCACACCATGTTTCATCATGTTGGCCAGGCTGGTCTCAAACTCCTGGTCTCAAGTGATCTACCCGCCTCAGCCTCCCAAAGTGCTGAGATTACAGATGTGAGCCACTATGCCCAGCCTGCATATTTCTTACATTTTTTTTCTCAAAACATGTCTTTTCTCAGTTATATGCCTAATTTTGTTTCATAATTTTTATCCTTTAGCTTAATGAGAGTCCCTCCCTGCTACCCCTTCCCCCAAGTCCCACAAACCTTGGCTCTGCTCCTGGCTGAGACGCTTGGACTTTGCAAAGAGACCAGAGCCTAAGGAATACAGAGCATGCACTGTGAACAGGAACAGGGCCAGTGCATACAGCTGTGGCTAGAAGGCACAGGCTAAAGTGTAGTGGTGCTATCACAGCTTGCTGCAGCCTTGGCCTCATGGGCTGAGGCAATCCTCCCACCTCAGCCTCCTGAGTAGCTGGGATATCAGGCCTGTGCCACCACAGCCAGCTAATTTTTTTATTTTTAGTAGAGATGGGGTTTCACCATGTTGACCACGCTGGTCTTGAACTCCTGACCTCAGGTGATCCACCAACCTCGGCCTCCCAAAGTGCTGGGTGCTGGGATTACAGGTATGAGCCACCACACCCGACTGATATAAATTATTATTGCCAGGCGCCATGGCTTATGCCTGTAATCCCAGCACTTTGGGAGGCCGAGGCGGGCGGATCACCTGAGGTTGGGAGTTCGAGACCACCCTGACCAATATGAGAAACCCCATCTCTACTAAAAATACAAAATTAGCTGGGCATGGTGGCTCATGCCTATAATCCCAGCTACTCGGGAGGCTGAGGCAAGAGAATCGCTTGAACCTTGGAGGCGGAGGTTGCAGTGAGCCAAGATCGTGCCATTGCACTCCAGGCTGGGCAACAAGAGTGAAACACCGTCTCAAAAAAAAAATTATTATTATTATTATTTTGAGATGGAGTCTTGCTCTGTTGCTCAGATTAGAGTACAGTGGCACGATCTTGGTTCACTGCAACCTCTGCCTCCCGGGTTCAAGCGATTCTCCTGTTTCAGTCTCCCAAGTAGCTGGGATTACAGGTGTGTACCACCACGCCTGGCTAATTTTTGTATTTTTAGTAGAGACAGGGTTTTGCCATGTTGGCCAGGCTGGTGTCAAACTCCTGACCTCAGGTGATCTGCCCACTTTGGCCTCCCAAAATGCTGGGATTACAGATGTGAGCCACCCTGCCCAGTCCATAAATTCTTTAACAAATAAGGAGAAGAGAAAGTTGTTGCCAGGCGCCGTGGCTCATGCCTGTAATCCCAACACTTTGGGAGGCTGAGGTGGGCAGAACACCTGAGGCCGGGAGTTCAAGACCAGCCTGGCCAACATGGCAAACCCCGTCTCTACTAAAAATGCAAAACTTAGCCAGGTGTGGTGGCTGGTGCCTGTAGTCCCAGCCAGTTGGGAGGCTGAGGCAGGAGAATTGCTTGAACCAGGAGGCGGAGGTTGCAGTGAGCAGAGATCGTGCCACTACACTCCAGCCTGGGCAACAGAGGGAGGCTGTGTCTCAAAAAAAAAACGAAAGAAAAGAAAAAGTTGCTTCTCACAAGTTAATGCCGATGAATACGTGTAGAAAAAATAACGGAATTTAAAAGCCACCATTTGGCAATCATCATAGCAGTAATTAATTCATGCAAGAAACATCAATGAATGTTAAAACTAGTGGGTGAAATTCAGAGGATGAGTGGGGATATTTACATAGTTTCATAGTATCTCCTCACAAAATGCTTATTAATTAAAAGAGACAAATAGTAACTGTATAATAGGGAATCCTGGCATACACCATCTTAATCAAGTGCTGAAAGTTAACATTGCCAGTAATGGTTCAAGGCAATGTCATCACGGGCACCTGATGGGATACCGTGAAAAGACCACAGCATTAGTTCTGTGCACCACCTGAATCTAATCATAAGGAGACAGTAGACAAACCTGGATTGAAAGAGTGTCTACAGGTTAACTAGCCTGTAATACTGAAGAATGTATTGCGGAACTTTATATAGGAGACTAAAGAGATATGACAATTAAGTGCAACCTATGATCCTGAGTTGGATCCTTTTGCTGTAAAGGTCATTCTTAGGATAGTTGGCAAAACTTGAATGAGGTCTCTAGATGAAGAGTATATGCAAGTTCTTAGTGCAGTATGATTCTTGCAACTGTTCTGTGAGTTTTATTTATTTATTTATTTGTTTTTGAAATGGAGTCTCACTCTGTCGCCCAGGCTAGAGTACAGTGGCACGATCTTGGCTCACTGCAACCTCCGCCTCCAGGTTCAAGCGATTCTCCTGCTTCAGTCTCCGGAGTAGCTGGGATTACAGGCACGCGCCACCACGCCCAGCTAATTTGTGTATTCTTAGTAGAGACGGGGTTTCACCATGTTGGCCAGGCTGGTCTTGAACTCTTGACCTTGTGATCCGCCCGCCTCAGCCTCCCAAAGTGCTGGGATTACAGGCATGAGCCACCGCACCCAGCCCTGTTCTGTGAGTTTTAAATTATTTTAAAAATAAACACCCGGCCAGGCGTGGTGGCTCACACCTGGAATCCTAGCACTTTGGGAGGCCGAGGCGGGTGGATTGCCTGAGGTCGGGAGTTTGAGACCAGCCTGGCCAATATGGTAAAACCGAGTATCTACTAAAAATACAAAAATTAGCTGGGTGTGGTGGCAGGAGCCTGTAATCTAAACTACTCCGGAAGCTGAGGCAGGAGAATCGCTTGAACCCGGGAGGTGGAAATTGCAGTGAGCTGAGATTGCGCCATTGCACTCCAGCCTGGGCAACAGAGCAAGACTTCATCTCAGAAAGAATAACAATAAAGTAAAATAAAATAAACACACAACAAAAACCATAAACAGTGTGTCTGACTCATCAGTCCTCATGCCTTCCAGGCCCATCTCGCCTGCTAACCATTTGTGTGACTTTTCAGAATCACTTTCCTTTTCTTGGCCTACTTTTCCTTATTGCAAAATAAAAGCTTTGGATATTAACAAATAATCACTTTAGGCCAGCATGGTAGATCATGCCTGTCACCCCAGCATTTTGGGAGGCTGAGATGGGGAGATTGCTTGAGGCCAGGAGTTTGAGACCAGCCTGAGCAACATAGCAAGACCCCATCTCTACAAAAAATACAAAAATTAGTTGGGCATGGTAGCATGCACCTCAGTCCCAGCTACTTGGGAGGCTGAGGTAGGAGGATCGCTTGAGCCCAGGAGTTGGAGGTTATAGCTATGATCGCTCCACTGCACTCCAGCCTGGGTGACAGAGGGAGACCTTGTCTCAAAATTAATAACAATCATCATCATCATCATCATCATCATCATCACTTTGGTTTCCTAGCCCAAAGAGGGAAGCACCCCGCCTCTCCCCCACCCTGTTGTGAAGAAGGGAAAAGTGGCTGAGCACTGGGGTGCCTTAGAGCGGCTTTGTGCCCTCTTTGTGCTCTACTACCCGGGAGCCCAATCCTGGTGTCACACAAACAGCCGGCCCCAGCGCTGGGCCTGTCGAAAAGCAGGTCCGCTGTGAGGATGGCTGTGAATAACAAAGGGCTGGGACTGAGATTCTCACACATTAGTGAGTGTTCATAGAAATCATCTGGTGGGGGCTTGCTGCGGTGGCTCACGCCTTTAATCCCAGCACTTTGGGAGGCCGAGGCAGACAGTTCACTTTGAGGTCAGAAGTTTGAGACCAGCCTGGCCAACATTGTGAAACCCTGTCTCTGCTAAAAAAATATACAAAAATTAGCCCGGCTCCCAGCTACTGGGGAGGCTGAGGCAGGAGAATCCCTTGAACTGAGGAAGTGGAGGTTGCAGTGAGCCAAGATCTTACCACTACACTCCAGCCTGTGCAACAAGAGCGAAACTCTATCTCAAAAAAAAAAAAGAAAGAAAGAAAGGAAGGAATCACCAGCCAGGCGTGTGGCTCATGCCTGTAATCCCAGCTACCCGGGAGGCTGAGGCTCCTCATAAAGTCAGGAGTTCGAGACCAGCCTGGCCAATATGGTGAAACCCCATCTCTACTAAAAATACAAAAATTAGCCAGGTGTGGTGAGGTGAGCCTGTAATCCCAGCTACCCGGGAGGCTGAGGCAGGAGAATTGCTTGAACCCAGGAGGTGGAGGTTGGAGTGAGCCAAGACCGCACACTGCACTCCAGCCTGGGCAATAGAGTGAGACTACATCTCAAAAAAAAAAAAAAAAAAAAAAAAAAAAGGAGAAAAAAAAGAAAGAAAGAGAAAGAAAAAAAAAGAAGTCATCTGGAGGTGCTCATTTAAGTTCAAGGTTGCAGTGAGCTATGATTGCACTACTGCACTCCAGCCGGGGTGACAGAGCAAGACTCTGTCACAAAAGAAAAAAAAAAGCACTTATCATTATCCAACATGCAATATGTTTTCTTGATTAAAGTCTTTCTCCTAACCCTAGAATGTAGGCACCATGACGACAGGGACTTTTTTTTTTTTTTTTTTTGAGACAGTCTCACTCTGTCACCCAGGCTAGAATGCAGCGATCTTGGCTCACTGCAACCTCTGCCTCCCGGGTTCAAGTGATTCTCCTGCCTCAGCTCTCCAAAGTAGCTGGGATTACAGGTGCACACCACCATGCCCAGCTAATTTTTTTGGTATTTTTAGTAGGGATGATGTTTCGTCATGTTGGCTAAGCTGGTCTTGAACTGCTAGCCTCAAGTGATCCACCTGCCTAAGCCTCCCAAAGTGCTGGGATTACAGACATGAGTCACCACACCCAGCCACGGATTGTCTTTTCTGTTCATTGCTGTATTCCCAGCACTTAGAACATTACCTGGAACATATAGGTAACGAGTGCTTAATAAATACTTGTCTAATGAATGAATGAATGCACTTGCAAGAGGTGCGTTTGAGTTCCAGGCAGGAAGAAGAAAACAGAAGAGGAGAAAAGGATGGTATCTATATCAGGAAAGCAAAAACTTTTCCAGAAATCCCTAGCAGATTTCTACTTACATCTCCTAGCCAAAACCATGTCACATGGCAACCCATTGCTGTAAGAGTCTGGGAATATGAATATTTTTACCTGGGCACACTGCCCTTCTTGAACAAAATTATCTTTTAAGCAAGGAGGAAGGGAAGAATGGATATTGGAAAGGCAACCTGTAGTGTCTACCAGTGGGTTTATCCTGGACCTGATCAAGCAGAATCTGAGGATGGTAATTTTTTTTTTTTTTTTGAGACGGAGTTTCACCCTTGTCACCCAAGCTGGAGTGCAGTGGCACAATCTAGGCTCACTGCAACCTCCGCCTCCTGGATGCAAGCTATTCCCCTGCCTGTAGCTGGGATTACAGGTGCCCACCACCACGTCCGTCTAATTTTTGTATTTTTAATAGAGACCGGGATTTCACCATGTTATCCAGGCTGGTCTCGAACTCCTGATCTCAGGTGATCCGCCTGCCTTGGCCTCCCAAAGTGCTGGGATTACAAGTGTGAGCTACTGTGCCCAGCCAAGGATAGTAATTTTGATCCAGGTAACTCTTGGACCACATTGTAAGAAAAATGGCCAGGGTAGACCGGGCGCTGTGGCTCACGCCTGTAATCCCAGCACTTTGAGAGGCTGAGGCAGGTGGCTCACCTGAGGTCAGGAGTTCAAGACCAGCCTGGCTAAGGTGGTAAAACTCTGTCTCTACTGAAAAAATACAAAAATTAGCTGGATGTGGTGGTGGGTGCCTGTGATCCTAGCTACTCGGGAGGCTGAGGCAGGAGAATTGCTTGAACCTGGGAGGGGGAGGTTGCAGTGAGCCGAGATAGCACCACTGCACACCAGCCTGGGTGACAGAGCAAGACTCTTGTTTCAAAAAAAAAAAAAAAGAAAAGGAAAAAGAAAAATGGCCGGGGTAATAAAATGAGCCTAGATTGAAATTTTCTTTCTTTTTCACTTTTTCTCTCTTTTTTTGAGACGGTGTCTCGTTATGTTGCCCAGTCTGATCTTGAATTCCCAGGCTTAAGCGATCCTCCTGCCTTTAGCCTCCTGAGTAGCTGGGATTTCAGGCGTGTGCCACCATGCCCGGCTCCAGATTAAAATTTTCTAAAGCCATCCTCCTGGGTGATGGACACACTGGCAAAGAACATCTGTTGTGCTGGCTGCCCAGAGCCCATTCGACTCCACTCCTACTTCCATCATCTTTTTTGAGAAATACTTTTATTTCTACCTCATCCCTCCCCCACATCTGCATGGTTACAGCCTTGGGACTCTTGGAGGTTTTGTTCGTACATCATATTCCCACCTACCTGACCCAAACTGCTAAATCAGAGTCCCATTCCCATAAATTTGGCATTGGGACCAAGATGCTAACTCTCTCCGGATGGCTGGATCATGTACCCAGAGAGCTGCTAGCAGATGTGTTTCCTACATCATGAACTGGAGCAGCTGAGGACAGAGTGTGAACCCCACACAGAAGGAAGTGTGGTGAAACAGAGAGGGTCTTTGTGGTGTTTGAGTCCCTGGTACTAGGTCATTCCTGAGGCCTGGGTCTTTCCTTGCCTTTGTGTGCCACAGCACGCCTCTGGGTCAGGCCAGCTTAAATGATTTTTTAGTGGTAGCCAAGAGTTCTAACTCACACTCACCCCATCCATCCTACGCCAAGGGGACAAGGACAAAGGGTAGTGTTTTCTACGCCCCAGCTCTAGGTTCTGAGAACAAAAAGAAGTAACTCTGTGGAGAGCAGGTGTCCAGTTTTGGAAGAAGAAGTGAAACATGGCAGTTTCCTTATCAATGAACTGTCTATCAACAAAAGACCAGAGGCCTGGGTCAAGGGAGAATTTCTACCCCCTGGCTGTTTCTGTGGGGCTCAAGAAAACCACCTGCTGTACAGGTGATCCCACTGCTAATGGAGGAATGAGCGGTTTTGTGTTGTTGTTGTTGTTTTTTTTTGAGACGGAGTCTCACTCTGTTGCCAAGGCTGGAGTGCAGTGGCACCATGTCGGCTCACTGCAACCTCCGTCTCCCGGGTTCAAGCAATTCTCCTGCCTCAGCCTCCCGAGTAGCTGGGATTACAGGAACCCACCACCGCGCCCGGCTAGTTTTTAAAATATTTTTAGTAGAGATGGGGTTTCACCATGTTGGCCAGTCTGGTCTTGAACTCCTGACCTCAGGTGATCCACCTGCCTCGGTCTCCCGAAGCGCTGGGATTACAGGTGTGAGCCACTGCGCCTGTCCTGAATGAGTGGTTTTACAATAGGACCTCTAGGCAAGGGTCTGCAGATCTGGTCTGATGCCGAACCTTGCCCATTGAGATAAATCACTCTGTCCTCTGTCCCTGGCTGTCACCACTTGGGAACCATGTATAGTGCCTGTCAGTTTTCCATGGGCTAGAGAAGTAGTGTGGCAAAGAGGGCAAAACATGGGTTCTAGAGTCTGCAAGTCCAGCTTCATCACGTACTGGGTCTTTAGCCAGTTAGTTAATTTCGCTTACTTCCATCTCTCAATCAGTCACCATAATCCTCTCACTAGGAGAATGAAATGAGTGTGAGTGTGTGTGTCTGTGTGTGTAAAGCACCTTACACAATACCTAGCAAACGCCCCCGAAGCAGCAGAGCCACTCCAGCCCTGGAACCCTGTTAGAGATCAGGGTGAGAGCCTGGCACAGAGACAGGACATCCCTCTAAGAAAACTGTCAGTGCCAAAATAGTTGGTTTACTGCCTGATTTTTGCAGCAGACAAACTTCAGTGCTCCCCTAGGAGTCAGGGTTCAAAGCTTTGTGTTTGTTTGTTTTTTAGCAATAACTAATTTTCATTTCCTGTAAGACCTCCACACTACAGAGAGCTAGTGGCTAGAACCCAGCAGGAGGGAAAATAGGTCCTGAGAAGAGAGGATAAGGGAAGCTAGTCTTTCTTTTCTTTTCGAGACAGTTTCACTCTTGTTGGCTAGGCTGGAGTGCAATGCCACAATCTCAGCTCACCTCAACTTCTGCCTCCTGTGTTCAAGCGATTCTCCTGCCTCAGCCTCCCGAGTAGCTGGGACTACAGGTGTGCACCACCATGCCTGGCTAATTTTTGTATTTTTAGTAAAGACAGAGTTTCACCATGTTGGCCAGGCTGGTCTCGAACTCCTGACCTCAGGGATCCACCTGCCTCAACCTCCCAAAGTGCTGGGATTACAGGCGTGAGCCACCGCACTCGGCCTAGACTTTCAAGTTATTGTAATTCAGCACCCATCAGGCCCAGGCACATCTGTGTGGTTTACATGCATTCTTTCCTCCTTTAACCCCTTTGGTGGATCAATGAGGGCATAGGGAGTATGACAGTGACAGCTAATCTGGACACCACTGAGGCAGTTCTGAAATCTGCCAGTTGCTCAGAATTAACTGGTTGGGGACGACCAGCCTAGAACACAAACAGCTGCTGCCATAGTCCCGGCACAGACTTCCGACTAGTGCCTGGGACCTGCTCCCCAGCCCTATTGGGCAAACAGATCTCCATTTATTAAGCAACCAGTTCTTTTCCAAAGTGCTGATAACTGCAGCTGGAATCCATATGCTCTTTTTATTTTTATTTTTTGGGATGGAGTCTTGCTCTGTCGCCCAGGCTAGAGTGCAGTGGCACAATCTCAGCTCACTACAAGCTCTGCCTCCAGGGTTCAAATGATTCTCCTGCCTCAGCCTCCAGAGTAGCTGAGATTACAGGTGTGTGCCACCACACCAGGCTAATTTTTGTATATGTAGTAGAGATGGGGTTTCACCATGTTGGCCAGGGTGGTCTCAAACTCCTGACCTCAGGTGATCTGCCTGCCTGGGCCTCCCAAAGTGCTGGGATTACAGGTGTGAGCCACCACGTCTGGCTGATATACTCTTGAGCCCCTACTGGAAAAACATGGAAGAGAGAGAAAGGAGAAAATGAAAAAGGGAGGGAGTTAAAGTAGGAAGAAACAAAGGGAAGAGAAGTAAGGCAGTCAACTCCGTGACGATACTCATTCCTTTATTGTCAACTGCATTGATTGGAACAGGGCTGGGGCCTGCAAGCTGCTGGCAGCACCCAGCTGCAGGTGCATTTCAGCTCAACAGAAAGGCCTCCATCCGAAGCCAAGGGGACAGAGGGGAATGTTTTATATATATATTTATATATTACATATGTCCCGTATAGTCATATGTGTAGAGTGACAAGAATGGGCCACTGCATTGTTAATTGTTGTCCTAAATAAAGACCATAGCAACACACGAGAATTTGGTCCTAATCAAGGCCCTTACTTTGTCAATCAAATATTTGATACACCAAAAGGAAAAGGAGAGAAAGAGAGACAGAGAGACTGAGATCCAGCCACTCCTGGTGGCCCTGTTCCCAGCAGATCTTACACTGAGTGTAGAGTGTCCCCTGTGGAGGTAAACACGCACACAAACACGCACACACATACACACATACACAAAACCGCAGGCAGGAGCTCCTCCTCCGACCATACCTCGGGCCCAGCCCTCGGACTGGGGGGGCTGATTTGGGTATATTGTGCTATAAGACTGTGAGGGAGGTGTGACAAGACAATGCAAAGGCGATGTGTCCAAGTGATGAATGAGGTGATACGTGCTGCTTTGTCCACAAACGAGAAAGAGGTCAGTGGGAGAGGCTGCTCAACGCAGCCCTGGAGGTCCCCCTGCGCTCAGGCCACCTGGTGAATTTCTACACACAACTCCTGTCCCAGCCACAGTCGAACCTCTGATCTGAATCCTGAGTCTCAAATAATCTCTTGGGCTCTGATGAAAATTGTGATTTCCTGGAAGGACAGGAGCAAATGGCAAGTGGGTGGCTCAACCCTCTAGTCCAGTAATGAAGCAGAAATGACAGTGTCGCTGAGTTAAATCAGACCCAAGCTTGATCCTCAGAGCAGAACTTGAATGATGTAAGAAGGGTTCATTTCCTGAAGGAAAGAGAATAACCCCCGCCACCACCTCCCACACCCCCCATTTCAGGCAGATCTGTCAGTCTCATGGTTTCACCCCAACGACAGCACTCTTCATATTCTAGGAACTGGAGACTCACACTATTAGGGCACTTTGAAATCCTAATTCACTCGCTTGCTTTCGTTATGACCTCTTCACCCGTCCTCCAAAATATACACTTAAAAAGCCAGTCAATGAACATTAACCATTTTTTTTTGTAGAAATTTACTTATCACTTGAGATACCTAGAGACATTTTGGGCCATCACAAAGGAAGGTAAGGAGTATCCCCCTAGGAACCAATTTGCGTAACTAGTGAATAAAGGATCTATTTTCAACAAAATAATACCTTAAAGATGCAATTCAGAAACAGGGGTAACAGGCAAAGCTGGAAAAGATTGTGCCTGGGCTTCTGTTTCCTGTGACAGATGAAGGGAAAAAGCAATAGATGTTAATATCTTCGTTTAGCGAGGGGTAGAATGACATTGACTCCTCCCACTGTGAACGGGGTCTAGGCAGCTGCAGGGAGAAATGATCGAAGCAGGCAGGAGCAGCCTCTTGAAAATGGGGAGTTGCCTTGAGAGCCTGTCGACCAAAATGACTCCTCGGAGGGGACAGAAACAAAGGAATCCAGTGGAGGGACTTCCGTTGATGACTGTTCAAGTTGTCTCAATTGCTGTTCCATTTCCTGCAGGTTCCAAGGCGATGGTAATTGCTTGGTCCACAGTTCCCATCCAAGGTGGGCAGAAAGCAGAGTTTGGGAAGCTGTGAGTTCTTGTCAAAGCTGAAGGGCATGAGCTATGTTGGTGAGGTTATTAATGTCCTTGAAAAGGAGCCCAAGAGGCTGAATGAGGTTGTCTGAGGCTCAGAAAGTGGAGAGTGGGGCTGTGTCCACGGGGAGCAGATGCCCAACACTGTCAGGATGTCTCTTGTCCTCAGGGAACACCAAGCAGTCTCCCAGTCCCAGAAAGTGCTCAGGGGCTGCTCGCCATCAGTGTGGGAGAAGATGGAGGTTATGGAGTGCGGTGGGTAGAAAAGGGACTGTCTTCTCAGGCACTGGCTACCTTCCCTTCTGGAGGCAGCTGACAGGGGGACAAGCCTGAGATCTGACTGGGGGAGCTCTCAAGTCAGAAGAAAAAGAGGCTACGCAGTGACCACGGTAGGCCCAGACGGCTCAGGCGAGGGCATCTCCCCAACACGAACAGAGCTCCGCGAATAAATAACATGAATTAAATAAAGGAGGCGAAGAAGAGCAGGCAGAGGCACCATCTGCCAGATTCTCACCCCTGCACACACGCACACGCACATGCACGCACACGCACACGCACCAAGCGGCAGATGAGATGAGCCAGGGTTGGCTGCCCCATCCCAGGAGTCTATTGGATGGGCAGCCTGACGTGATGGTTGTCACTCATGGTCCGCCACTGTTGCAGGGCGCAGAGAAGCAGAGGCCAGGGAGGCATGTGTGGTGGAAGGTGGAGGCCGCTGAGGACTCTGGCACCTGCAGGGGAGATGACGCAGGCGAAAGGGGAGGTTAGGGAAATACAGGAAACAGGAAAGTGGGTCCTCTCCTTTGCCCCATCCTGTTGCTGCAGGAATCCTTCTGACATCCCCAGTCACCCCTTGCCCTTCCTGCCCTTCGGGTACCAGCAAAACCCTCTTTAGCATCACCCAGCGCCTGCAGTTCCCCTGCCTCCTGGGTCCAGTGCTGCCTGGGACCATGGAGGTACTGACCAGGATCTGGACTTTCGGACTTTAGACGTGGAAGGTCTTTCCAGAAAGCTGTCCAATCGCATGAGCCTCTCCATGTGTAGCGCACGAGGGTCTTGTTCTTGGTCGTGAGAGAATTCCATCTCAAAGACAGCTGGAGGGGACACATCCAACTCCAGAAACATTATGTTTTCAGCCTGTGGTGGGAATATCATGCCAGGCTTGAACAGTGCCCAGTCACTGTGCCTTCTAGGGACTCAGCCAGTCTTGGGTGTAGCAGGGCTGATGAGGTGGTTAGGGGAAGCAGAGGCTGTGAGCATCCCCTCCCATAGGCTCTTTTTTTTTTTTCTTCTGAGATGGAGTCTCACTCTGTTGCCCAGGCTGGAGTGCAGTGGTGCAATCTCGGCTCACTGCAACCTCCACCTCCCAGGTTCAAGCAATTCTCCTGCCTCAGCCTCCCAAGTAGCTGGGACTATAGGCACCCATCACCACGCCTGGCTAATTTTTGTATTTTTAGTAGAGACAGGGGTTCACCATGTTAACCAGGCTGGTCTCGAACTCCTGACCTCAGGTGATCCACCTGCCTCGGCCTCCCACAGTGCTGGGATTACAGGTGTGAGACACCTCGCCCGGCCTCCCTCCCGTAGGCTCTTTCTCCCCTCTCCGCTTCTTACCCTGTACCTGGGGTGGGACCCCATTGCCATGGCAACCCGAGCATACTGGCTGATAGGCCTCTTGTAGCCCACTGCAGATGTTGGCCGCTTCTTCATCTGGCTGCTACTGCTGTAGGAAAGAGGCTATATTAGAAAGGATTTCTGTGGAACACAAACAGCAAATGACATCATGAGGACCTAAATATCATTCAGGTAGCTAGGAGGCCCTGCAGACTGCAAGTTCTGGAATTTTCTTCTCCTTGCTCTAATACAGCTTGACAACTGAAGCTAGTGCAGTTGTCCCCCTCATCCGTGGTTTCGCTTTCCACAGTCTCAGTTACTGTGGTCTGAAAATAGGCAAGTACAGTACAATCAGATGTTTCGAGAGACAGACACACCTGCATCACTTCTATTAGAGTATATTGTGTTTTTGTTGTTGTTTTGAGATGGAGTCTCACTCTGTCACCCACGCTGCAGTGCAGTGGCACAATCTCAGCTCGCTGCAGCCTCCACCTCCCAGGTTCAAGCAATTCTCCTGCGTCAGCCTCCCGAGTAGCTGGGATTACAGGCATGCACCACCACACCTGGCTAATTTTACTTTATTTTATTTTTTCTTTTTTTGAGACGAAGTTTTGCTCTTATTGCCCATGCTGGAGTGCAATGGCATGATCTTGGCTCACCACAACCTCTGCCTCCCGGGTTCAAGTGATTCTTCTGTCTCAGCCTCCCGAGTAGCTTGGATTATAGGCATGTGGCACCACGCCTGGCTAATTTTTTGTATTTTTAGTAGAGACAGGGTTTCTCCATGTTGGTCAGGCTGGTCTCGAACTCCCGACCTCAGGTGATCCACCCACCTCAACCTCCCGATGTACTGGAATTACAGGCGTGAGCCACCGTGCCTGGCCTAACACCCGGCTAATTTTTGTATTTTTAGTAGAGATGGGGTTTTACCACGTTGGCCAAGCTGGTCTCGAACTCCTGACCTCAAGTGATCTGCCTGCCTTGGCCTCCCAAAGATCTGAGATTATAGGCATCAGCCACTGCACCCAGCCTTATTAGAGTATATTGTTATAATTGTTTTGTCTTATACATCTCATGTACCCCACAAACATATACACCTGCTATGTACCCACAACAATTTAAAAAAATTAATAAAATTTAAAATAAACCTCATAGCATATATAGGGTTTGGTACTAGCTGCAGTTTCAGGCATCCACTAGAGGTCTTAAAACGTATCCCCTGCCAGGTGCAGTGGCTCACACCTGTAATCCCAGCACTTTGGGAGGCCGAGACGGGTAGATCACCTGAGGTCAGTAGTTCGAGACCAGCCTGACCAACATGAAGACACCCTATCTCTACTAAAAATACAAAAAATTAGCTGGGCATGGTGGTGCATGCCTGTAATCCCATCTACTCAGGAGAGTGAGGCAGGAGAATTGCTTGAACCTGGGAGGCGGAGGTTGTGGTGAGCCAAGATCACGCCATTGCACTCCAGCCTGGGCAACAAGAGCAAAACTCCATCTCAAAAACAAACAAACAAAAAACAAAACAAAAAAAGTATCCCCCATGGATAAGTGGAGACTACTGTGTAACACAAAGAGGTACATATTAATATTTCTTCACTCCTGTTGCTTTAAATTGTTTCTGCAGTAGAAAGGACTGATTGAAGGCTGAAATGAAATCCAGTCTCACTTTAGCTTGTAGCTTTATATACTTTTTTTTTTTCAAAGTCTTGCTCTGTCACCCAGGCTGGAGTGCAGTGGTGCGATCTCAGTTCACTGCAACCTCCGCCTCCTGAGTTCAAGTGATTCTTGTGCCTCAGCCTCCTGAGCAGCTGAGATTACAGGCAAACACCACCACACCCGGCTAATTTTTGTATTTTCAGTAGAGGACAGGGTTTCACCATGTTGGCTGGTCTCGAACTCCTGACCTCAAGTGATCTCCCTGCCTTGGCCTCCCAAAGTACTGGGATTACAGACGTGAATCACTGCACCTGGCTGTTTTTTTTTTTTTTGAGTCAGAGTCTCACTGTCACCCAGCCTTCATTGTGTGTTGTTTCTTCTGTTTTGTTTTTTTTTTTTTTTTTTGGAAACGGAGTCTCGCTGTCACCAGGCTGGAGTGCTGTGGCACAACCTCGGCTCACTGCAACTTCCGACCCCCTGGTTCAAGCGATTCTCCTGCCTCAGCCTCCCGAATAGCTGGTATTACAGGCGCATGCCACCACATCCAGCTAATTTTTGTATTTTTAGTAGAGACGGGGTTTCACCATGTTGGCCAGGATGGTCTTGATCTCCTGACCTCATGATCCGCCCACCTCAGCCTCCCAAAGTTCTGGGATTACAGACATAGGCCACTGCGCCTGGCCGGTAATTTTTAACTTTTAGTAGAGACAGGGGGTTTCACCATCTTGGCCAGGCTGGTCTCAAACTCCTGACCTCAGGTAATCCTCCTGCCTCGGCCTCCCAAAGTGCTGGGATTATAGGCATGAGCCACTCCACCCAGCCTATTTTTCTTCATAGGAGTTAGCATAATAAAATGGTTAAAAACTCAGGCTTGAAATGAAAAGGAACAAAGTTAGAAGCCTCACATTTCTCAGTTTCAAAACTTATTACAAAGCGCCAGGTGTGGTGGCTCATGCCTGTAATCCCAGCGCTTTGGGAGGCCGAGGCAGGCGGATCACCTGAGGTCAGGAGTTTGAGACCAGCCTGGCCAACATGGTGAAACCCTGTCTTTACTAAAAATACAAAAACTAGCTGGGTGTGGTGGCACACACCTGTAGTCCCAGCTACTCAGGAGGCTGAGGCAGGAGAATTGCTTGAACCCGGGAGGCAGAGGTTGCAGTGAGCTGAGATCTGGCTACTGCACTCCAGCCTGGGTGACAGAGTGAGACTCCATCTCAAAAACAAAACAAAACAAAACAAAACAAAACAAAACAAAACAAAACAAAACTTATTACAAAGCTATAGTAACCAAGATACTATAGAACTTGCATAAGACGAACATATAGATTAATGAAATAGAACTGAAACTCCAGGGCCAGGCACCATGGCTCATGCCTGTAATCCCAGCACTTTGGGAGCCCAAGGCAGGTGGACTGCCTGAGCTTAGGAGTTTGAGACCAGCCTGGGCAACATGGTGAAACCCCGTCTCTAGTAAAATACAAAAAATTAGCCAGGCGTGGCAGCATGTATCTGTAATTCCAGCTACTTGGGAGGCTGAGACAGGAGAATTGCTTGAACCTGGGAGGCAGAGGTTGCAGTAGGCCAAGATCACGCCATTGCACTCTAGCCTGGGTGACAGAGTGAGACTCTGCAAGACTCCGTTTCAAAAAAAAAAAAGGGCAAAGGATCTCAATAGATATTTCTCAGAAGATATACAAATGGTTGATAAGCACATGAAAAGATGTTCAACATTATTAGTCATATAGGGAAATCTAAATCAAAACCACAATGGTGGCTGGGTGTGGTGGCTCACACCTGTAATCCCACCACTTTGGGAGGCTGAGGCATGTGGATCCCTTGAGCCCAGAAATTTGAGTCCAGCCTGGGCAACATAGCAAGACCCTGTCTCTACAAAAAATACAAAAAAAAATTAGCAGGGTATGGTAGCACACACCTGTAATCCCAGCTACTCGAGAGGCTGAGGTGGGAGGATCACCTGAGCCTGGGAGGTCAAGGCTGCAGTGAGCCGTGATCATGTCACTGCACTCCAGCCTGGGTGACAGGGTTAAGACCTTGTCTCAAAAGAAAAAAAAAAAACCCACAATGGATACCAGTTCAGATCCACTAGGATGACTATAATTTAAAGACAGACAGTAACACATGTTGGTGAGGATGTAGAGAAAATGAAACCCTCATACACTATTAGTGAGAATGTAAAAAAAAAAGTTAAACATAGACTTACCATATAACCCAGCACTTCCACTACTAGGCATATACTCAAGAGAATTGAAAACATGTATTCATATGAAAACTTGTACACAAATGATCATAGCAGCATTATTTATAATAGCCAAAAAGTGGAAATTACCGAAATGTCCACCAACTGATGTGTTGATAAACCAAATGTGGTATATTCATAGAGTGGAATATTACTCACCAATACAAAGGAATGAAGTACTGATGAGTGTTCCAACATGGACGAACCTTGAAAACATTTTGCTAAGTGGAAGAACTCAGTCGCAACGGACTACATATTGTGTGATTCCATTTACATAAAATATCTGGAATAGGTAAAGCCATAGAAACAGAAAGTAGATTGGCAGTTGTCTAGGTCTGGGGAAAGGGGTTTTGAGGAGAATGAGGAGTAACTGCTAATTGGTTCAGGGTTTCTTTTTGGAGTGATGAAAATGTTCTGGAATTAGGCTGGGCGTGGTGGCTCATGCCTATAAACCCAGCACTTTGGGAGGCCAAAGTGGGCAGATCACTTGAGGTCAGGAGTTCGAGACCAGCGTGACCAACATGGTGAGACCCTTTCCCTGACAAAAATACAAAAATTAGCCAGGGGTGGTGATGCATGCCTGTAATTCCAGCTATTAAGGAGGCTGAGGCAGGAGAATCGCTTGAACCCGGGAGGCAGAGGTTGCAGTGAGCCGACTCGCACCCCACTGCACTCCAGCCTGGGAGACAGAGCGAGACTCCATCTCAAAAAAAAGAAAAAGAAAGAAAATGTTCTGGAATTAGATAGTGGTGACGGTTGTATAACTCTGAATATACTAAAATCCACTACATTATTAAGCAGTAGAGCTAAAAAAAAATCCACTGAATTGTACACTTTAAAATGGTGAACTTATGATAGGTCAACTACATCTCAACAGAGCTGTTATTTAAACAATGAACAAACAGGCCAGCCTCAGAGACTCATGCTTGTAATCCCCACGCTTTGGGAGGCCGAGGTGGGAGGATCATCTGAGGCCAGGAGTCTGAGGCTGTAGCGTGCTATGATTGTGCCAATGAATAGTCACTGCACTCCAACCTGGGCTACAGAGCGAAGATCCCAGCTCTAATTTAAAAAAAAAAAAAGTTTATGGCCAGGCGCAGTGGCTCATGCCTATAATCCCAGCACTTTGGGAGGCCGAGGTGGGTGGATCACCTGAGGTCAGGAGTTCGAGACCAGCCTAGCCAACATGGTGAAACCCCGTCTCTACAGAAAATACAAAAATTAGCCGGGCATGGTGGCTCACACCTGTAGTCCCAGCTACTTGGGAAGCTGAGGCATAAGAATCACTTGAACCTGGGAGGCAGAAGTTGCAGTGAGCTGAGATCACACTGCTGTACTCCAGCCTGGACAACAGAGTGAGACTCAGTCTTAAAAAAAAATAAATAATAAAATTTTAAATGCATATTCTTTGACCCAAATTTCTCCTCCTAGGAACTTCACTAAGCAAATAATCAGAGGTAAAGAGAAAAATTTACATGCAGGGGTATTTGCTGAAGCCTTTTTTTTTTCTATAGACAGAGTCTTGCTCTGTCACCCAAGCTGGAGTGTGATGGCAACATCATAGCTCACTGCAGCCTCAAATTCCTGGGCTCAAATAGTCTTCCTGCCTCAGCCTCCTGAGTAGATAGGTCTACAGGCAGGTGCCACCACACCTGGCTAATTTTGTTATTTTTTGACAGGGTCTCACTCTGTTGCCCAGGCTGGTTTTGAACTCCTTGCCTCAAGCTATCCTTCCACCTCAGCCTCCCAAAGTGCTGGGACTTTAAGTATGAGCCACTGTGCCTGGCCCTGAAGCATTATTTACAACTGCAAAAAATTAGAAACAACCAAAATGGGGTTGGTTAAATTATTAGGACCCAGTTACATTACTATTCAGTCCTATGAAGGAACTTTATGTAGTCAATAAAATTTTTATGTGGCTCGGCCGGGTGCAGCGGCTCACGCCTGTAATCCCAGCACTTTGGGAGGCCAAGGTGGGTGGATCACGAGGTCAGGAGATTGAGACCATCCTGGCTAACACGGTGAAACCCCATCTCTACTAAAAAAAATACAAAAAAAAAAAAATTAGCCAGGCACGCTGGCACACACCTGTAGTCCCAGCTACTCGGGAGGCTGAGACTGGAGAATCGCTTGAACCCGGGAGGCGGAGGTTGTAGTGAGCCAACATCACGCCACTACACTCCAGCCTGGACAACAGAGTGAGACTCAGTCTCAAAAAAAAAAAACAAAACAAAACAAAACAAAAAAATTTGTGTGTGGCTCTACATACATGCAGAAAGACTGCCACAATATATTAATAAAAGAGCAAATAAAAAGATGAAGTTTTTGTTTGTATTTTTAAATTTTTTGTAGAGATGGGGTCTCGCTATGTTGTCCAGGCTGGTCTCAAACTCCTGGCCTCAAGTGATCCCCCAGCCTCAGTGTCCCCAAGTGTTGGGATTACAGGCATAAGCCAGCATACCTGGCCAGTTTTAAGGAAATGCGTGTGTGTGTGTCTGCTTAGGAAAAAGTCTAGATATTCAACAAAATGTTGACAGTTATAATCTTTGAATTGTGTGATTATGGGTGATTTTTATTTTCTCTCTGCCTTTCTGCAATATCTCAAAAATTTTTTTACAATGAATATGTATAACTTTATACTAATTAATTAGTTCAAACATCTACAGGAAATATGTATCTGTATGCCTGCCATCCAGTTTTGTAAAGAATGCTGCTGTGAACATTTCTAAAGGTATTTTCATGCTTATATTTAACATTTTCCCTGGGGTATGGATCCAGGAATGGAAGTGTTGCATTGCAGGGTATGTGGATTTTCAGCTTTACTTGATATTGTCAATTGCTTTTCAAAGTGATTACACTTATGGAAGTTTCCATTGGTCTACATCCTAGAGAGCTCATTGAGTGCTATTCACTTTCAGCAATTTGGTGAGTGTGATGGATTATTAAAATACTTTTACTACCCTGAACAAAAACAAACAGAAAAAAGAAAGGAAAGAAAACAAGAAAGCTACTTCCATTTAAAAAAATAAAAGAACACAGGTTTTGGAGTAAGGCAGACCTGGGTTTGAATGCTGGCTCTGCCCCTTCAAGCTCTTTTACTTGGGGAAGTGGCTTACTATCTCTGAGCCTCAGATATATCATCCCTATCATACAGAATTTCTGAGATTAAACAAGACAAGCACTTAGCACAGTACACCTGCCACAGGGCTTAACACATGGCAGCTGTGATTATGATTTATTTTCAATTCCACTTGCTAATTTCAAGTGGGGATACAAATGAAATGAGCAAGGATAAAAGTCAAAAGGCGACAGTTGGAAGAGGAGAAGAAACAGGCCGAGTAACTCAAAGCTTAGGACATTCTGTCCTTGAACAGCAGAACAAGCTGTGCAGGGGCCCACAGAACAATGGCTGCCTTCTGCAGCTGGCAGTGATGGGAAATAACATTCTTGTGGTTTAGTTTATGATGCATATAAAAAGGTGCCGTACCCCATTAGTGGTCCCTGCTGACCCTCTCTATAGATGAAAACAAGGAAAGATAAGGCTCCAGAAGCCCCAGCTGGGTCTGCAGCTGAGCTTACAGGATGCCGGGAGGCGTGCCCGTGAGGAGAGGCAGCCTCAGTGGCAGTGGCAGCAAGGAGACAGTCCTGCTGCAGACGCTGCTGGAAATGCAGAGCCATCCCCTCTAAGAGGGGAGTGGGAAAATTAGGAAAATGGCAACTTATTTACAACGTGCTTCTACACAGTTCATCTGAACTTAACAACCTCCGGAGGTGTGGATAGAGCAAAGAAGACTGAGGCTCAGGGAGGTGCAGCGCCTTTTGTGTCCAAGGTCATGCAATTAGGGAGAGACTAGGAATCTGAATCTTCCCATATACTCCTTTTAAAATTATTATTGGCCAGGTGTGGTGGCTCACGGCACGCCTGTAATCCCACACTTTGGGAGGCTGAGGCAGGTGGATTACCTGAGGTCAGGAGTTCAAGACCAGCCTGGCCAACATGGTGAAACCCGGACTCTACTAAAAATATAAAAATTAGCTGGGTGTGGTAGCATGCACCTGTAGTCCCAGCTATTCAGGATGCTGAGGTGAGAGAATCACTTCAACCTGGGAGGCGGAGGTTGAGTGAACCGAGATCATGCCACTGCATTCCAGCCTGGGTGACAGAGCGAGACTCTGTCTCAAAAAAAAAAAATTATTATTATTTTGTGGCTGGGCACAGTGGCTCACACCTGTAATCCCAACACTTTAGGAGGACAAGACAGGTGGATCACCTGAGGTCAGGAGTTCAAGACCAGCCTGGCCAATTTGGTAAAACCCCCTCTCTACCAAAAATACAAAAATTAGCTGAGCATGGCACATACCTGTAACCCCAGCTACTGAGGAGGTTACTCAGAGAATTGCTTGAACCTGGGAGATGGAGGTTTCAGTGAGCTGAGATCGTGCCACTGCATTTCAGCCTGGGCGACAGAGTGAGTCTGAGTCTCAAAAAAAAAAAAAAATTATTTTGTGAAATTTTTGAATCGGGCAACACCTCATTCTATGCCACAGGGTGGGGGTTCCCCCCAAGGACTCTAGTATCATCTCTCAGGAGGACACTGGGCCAGAACAGATGGGCCAGTGAGTGCCTTTGAAAGCTCAGGCGCTGGGAACAGGACAGAGGGACAGGGCTGGGTGAGCAGAGGATCAGCGCAAATTGGCAGCCTGACCCAATAAAGATGCCAGGGCTATTCTGGGTGGCATGTGGGAGAGAAGGGTTGGGGGAAGGGAGTCTGTAATTGGGGCACCGACCTTCCCATCGGCTCCCTCTTCTGCCCCAGGCCTACTTTCCATGATTGATCCTCTGTAGGAAGCAGGTTTTGGCAGCCCGGAGCTGAGGCCTGGGTCTGCGTTTATGCACCCCTCCCTTTAAGCACCCCTCCCAGCAGGGCCCCACAACCACAGTTATCCTGCGTGCAGTACATCTGACGCGTTCTCCTAGGACCCTCCCTCCGTAATTGGCTACTATCATTTTTTCCCCTTTAATATTAAAAAGTCATCTCTCAGCTCCATCTCAGGGGTTGACATCATTCTCTTTCCTGGCTGTTTGATCACTTCCTTTCCCCTCTCCTTCCTCTCCTTCCTTCCTGCTCTCCCTCTCTCCCTCCCTTCCTCACTCTGTCACCCAGGCTGGAGTGCCGTGGCAAGATCTTGGCACACTGCAACCTCTGCCTCCCAGATTCAAGTAGCTGGGATTACAGGTGACAGCCATCACATCTAGCTAATTTTTGTATTTTTAGTAGAGACGGGGTTTTGCCATGTTGGCCAGGCTGGTCTCGAACTCCTGGCCTGAAGTGATCCACCTGCCTTGGCCTCCCAAAGTGCTGGGATTACAGGTGTGAGCCACCGCGGCTGGCCTCCCCCTCTTGTTCTGAAAGCAGGCATCCGACATCATCGGGTGTGTTTCCTTCTAGTTCCTTCCTGTGCATTCAACACTGACAGTCAGGCTTTCCTCTTCGATCTGGCTGCTTTCTCCTGGTAGGCCATCTGTCCACCTTGTTCCACTGCCCTGCTTGTCTGAACTCTCAGCCTTCCCATTTCCCCTCCATGCTGTCCCCGACCCGCCTGGGAAGCTGCAACTGCTCCCTGCTTCACACTGTCTTCAATTCTCACAGGTCTGTGAAGAAATCCAGGGACTCAACGCAGAGCTAGGAATGTTCTTACTGGGGTGAACTTTGCCTCTGTGACAAAACCAGTTTAACTTTCTTTCCTGATTCTATTTATAGCAAGAAACACTCTCTCTTTAAACCCAGAGGCAGAGCCTGGGTGAGGTGGCTTACACCTGTAAGCCCAGCACTTTTGGGAGGCCGAGGCAGATGGATTACCTGAGGTCAGGAGTTCAAGACCAGCCTGGCCAACATTGAAACCCTGCCTCTACTAAAATACAAAAATTAGCTGGGCATGGTGGTGCACCCCTATAATCCCAGCTACTCAGGAGGCTGAGGCACAAGAATCGCTTGAACCTGTGAGGTGGAGGTTGCAGTGAGCCAAGATCGTGCCACTGTACTCCAGCCCGGGTGACAGAGTAAAACTCTGTCTCAAAAAAATAAAAATGAAAATAAATAAATAAATAAAATAAACCCAGAGGCAGTTTAACAAAAAATCAACATCTAAAACAAAAACATAAAGTCAAACTGCCCTTGTAGGGCACTTCTAAGGGATAGAGCAGGCCGGTTTCTCCAGAGTCCCCATAATTAGAATATTGGTTTATCAGTGTGAGTGCAACTCTTCATTGATCATCTCCTCCGCACCAGGCACAGGCCTGGAACCTTACATTATTTCATTTCAACCTTGACAGTCCTGCAAGGTACATATTGTTATCCCCACTTTACAGATGAAAAAATTTGGGTTCAGAGAGGTTAAAAAAACTTACTCAAGGCCAGGCGCATGGTGGCTCACGCCTGTAATCCTAGCAGTTTGGGAGGCTGAGGCGGGTGGATAACCTGAGGTCAGGGGTTTGAGACCAGCCTGGCCAACATGTTGAAACCCCATCTCTACTAAAAATACAAAAATTAGCCAGGTGTGGTGGCGTATGCCTGTAATCCCAGCTACTCTGGAGGCTGAGGCGGAAGAATCGCTTGAACCCAGGAGTGGGGGTTGCAGTGAGCTGAGATCACGCCACTGTACTCCAGCCTGGGCGACAGAGTGAGACTCCATCTCAAAAAACAAAAAAACAACAGAAAAAAACTTACTCAAGGCCACTAGTAAGTGGCAGAGCAGGGGCTAGAATTCAGAATGTTCTTTTTTTTTTTTTTTTTTTTTTTTGAGTCTCGCTCTGTTGCTCAGGCTGGAGTGCAGTGGTGCGATCTCAGCTCACTGCAACCCCCGCCTCCCAGGTTCAAGCGATTCTCCTCCTACCTCAGCCTCTGGGTAGCTGGGATTATAGGCGCCCACTACCACACGCGGCTAGTTTTTGTATTTTTAGTAGAGACGGGGTTTCACCATGTTGGCCAGGCTGGCCTCAAACTCCTGACCTCAGGTTATCTGCCCGTCTCAGCCTCCCAAAGTGCTGGGATTACAGGCGTGGGCCACCACACCCGGCCAAATTCAGAATGTTCTAAATCCAAAGTCTAGTCTCTCTCTACTGCACCATGATGCCTTTAAAAAGAATCTAGGGGCTGGGCACAGTGGCTTACGCTTGTAACCCAGCACTTTGGGAGGAGTTCACTTGAGCTCAGGAGTTCGAGACCAGCCTAGGCAACATAGTGAGACCCCCGTCTCTACTAAAAATGAAAGCAAATTAGCTGGGTATGGTGGTCCATGTCTGTACTGTGGTCTAAGCTACTCGGGAAGTTGAAGCAGGAGGATCACTTGAGCCCAGAAGGTCAAGGCTGTAGTGAGCCATGATTGTGCCACTGCATTCCAGCCTGGGCAACACAGTGAGACCCTGTCTCAAAAAAAGAAAGAAAAGAAACAAAGAAAAGAATCTAGGGTGGCTGGGGTTACAAAGGTCAAAGGGCTAAAGTTGCAATGGAATTTTGTGTACCATAAACCACAGGGTATGGATGCTGTCACATATATCACCCTTTAGAAGACAATTTTGTGGGGCTGGCTCACACCTGTAATCCCAGGCTGAGGTGGGTGAACTGCTTGACATCAGGAGTTGGAGACCAGCCTGGGCAACATAGTGAAACCCTGTCTCTATTTAAAAAAAAAAAAAAGAAGAAGAAGACAATTTTACCTAAACACAATTAAAGTCTAGGCCAGGTGTGGTGGCTCACGCCTGTAATCTCAATACTTTGGGAGGCTGAGATGGGGGTATCACTTGAATCCAGGAGTTCAAGACCAGCCTGGGCAATGTAGTGAGACCTCATCTCTAAAATAAATAAAAAATTAGTCAGGCATGGTGGCACAAGCCTGAGGTCCCAGCTACCCAGGAGGCTGAGGTGGGAGGATCACTTGAGCCAAGAAGGTGAGCCAAGATTGTGCCACTGCACTCACTGGGCAACAGAGTGAGACCTTGTCTCAAAAAATTAAATTAACTGGGCCTCGTGGCATGTACCTGTGGTCCCAGCTACTCAGGGGGCTGAGGTGGGAGGATTGCTTGAGCCTGGGAGGCAGAGGTTTCAGTGAGCCAAGATGATGCCATTGCACCCTAGCCTGGGTGACAGAGTGAGACCCTGTCTCAAAAAAATAGATAAAAATTAAATAAAATTTAAAAATCTAGGTTGGGCACAGTGGCTCATGCCTATAATCCCAGGACTTTGGGATGCCGAGACAGGCGGATCACCTGAGGTCAGGAGTTCGAGACCAGCCTGGCCAACATGGAGAAACCCTGTCTCTACTAAAAATACAAAAATTAGCTGGGCGTGGTGGCACATGCCTATAATCCCAGCTACTCGGGAGGCTGAGGCAGGAGAATCGCTTGAGCCTGGGAGGCGGAGGTTGCAGTGAGCTGAGATCACGCCATTGCACTCCAGCTTAGGCGACGGTCTATTATGAGAAACTAAAAATAAAAGGTTGTACTTGTAAAATATTTATTGCTAGACCTAGTTGCAAAAAAAAATTTTTTTTTTTTGAGATGGAGTTTCACTCTTGTTGCCCAGGCTGGAGTGCAATAGCACGATCTTGCCTCACTGCAACCTCTGCCTCCTGGGTTCAAGCGATTCTCCTGCCTCAGCCTCCCAAGTAGCTGGAATTACAGGCATATGCCACCACACCTGGCTAATTTTGTATTTTTAGTAGAGACGGGGTTTCTCCATGTTGGTCAGGCTGGTCTCGAACTCCCGACCTCAGGTGATCTGCCCGCCTTGGCCTCCCAAAGTGCTGGGATTACAGGCGTGAGCCACCGCGCCAGTGCAAAAATGTTTTTTAAAGTAACTTTAATATTATACAAGATTATGACTGTGGAAGGCACCTCACCTTATATTATTTTATATCAAATAATGGCTACATGGAGATGGTAGAGAAAAAAAAGAAAGGGCTAAACTTCCAAAATAAGTTGATTAGGAATATTTCTCAAGAGCTGCCTGACAACTCCTTGTTTGAGAGAGAGGCACTGGTCAGAGGGTGGGATGGATGCTTAGAGCTGGAGTAGGTGGAGGAAGAATGTTTTTTGAACAGAAGCTTTCTAATGGGACAGCATGACTTCAGGTAATTTCTTACAAACAATGTTTTTTCCTCTCACTTCGAGCAGCTCTTAGTGTTCTCATCCCCAGAATACCACAGGCCGAAATAAAGCAAAATATTCCACACTTGAGTTGAGCAAATGGAACAACGCCCTAATTAGTTAAATATGCTTTGGAGAGAAATAACTTTTCTGTTTGTTTTTTAGCCCTAATTAAGTGATGCGGCAAGTGGTGGGATCCAATGCTGAAGAAAGGACCTTTTCTCTGGGGAGTGGAGAAGTTTGCTTCACAGCTGCAGCCTCAGACCCCATGGTTCCTGAAATGAGGAAAGCTGCCTTGTTCAAGGACCTCCCTGCCCTCAACCTTCTGTGGTGAAATGAGGGACATGGGGCAGATGACCTCAGAGATCCAGGCCAGCAGCTCCCTGCCCCCTACTGTGCCCCACCAGACTCTCTCTGCTAAGTCAGAATCACAACTGGGATTTCAATTACCGTGGAATTGTTTTTACTTTATTCTAACCATCTTATCTTGGCTTTAAAAAGAGTAATTTTAAAAACTTGTTTCATATAAAAAATCCTAGAACTGGCCGGGCACGGTGGCTCACGCCTGTAATACTAGCATTTTGGGAGGCCGAGGTGGGCGGATCACCTGAGGTCGGGAGTTCGAGACCAGCCTGACCAACAGGCTGGAGATGGAGAGTAGAGATGGAGAAACCCCGTCTCTACTAAAATTACAAAATTTGCCAGGCGTGGTGGCACATGCCTGTAATCCCAGCTACTCGGGAGGCGGAGGCAAGAGAATCACTTGAACCTGGGAGGCAGAGGTAGGGGTGAGCCAAGATTGCGCAATTGCACTTTAGCATGGGCAACAACAGCAAAATTCTATCTAAAAAAAAAAAAAATCCTAGAACCATTTTTTACTTGCCTTTTCTATTTTTGTATTTTTTAAAGTTCTGAAATAAATATTAAATACTGCAAATTGCAGTCATCAGACATAGCAAAGTGGACAGTGACAAAAAAATGAAAAAGAAAAAGAAAAGAATATATTCATGATTACCTGATATTTCTTTCTTTCTTTTTTTTTTCATAGATATGTAATCTTGCTCTGTGGCCCAGGCTGGAGTGCAATGGCATGATCTCGGCTCACTGCAACTTCTGTCTCCCAGGTTCAAGCAATTCCCCTGCCTCAGCCTCCCAAGTAGCTGGGATTACAGGTGTGATCCACCGTGCACAGCTACCTGATATTTCTTAATAACTGTTTTAAAGTAATTTATTTCTTGGAATTCTTTATTATATTAGAGCATTCTGTAATTACTGTTCATATAATTTGTATTTAAGTGTAGTAGAGAACATTGGTAAATCATAATTGCCTTTTTTTTTTTTTTTTTGAGACAGGGTCTCACTCTGTTGACCAGGCCAGGTGGAGTGAAGTGGTATAATCACAGCTCAGTGAAGCCTCAACCTCCTAGGTTCAAGCAATCCTCCCACCTCAGCCTCCCAAGTAGCTGGGAGTACAGGCATGTGCTAATGCCTGGCTAACTTTTTGTATTTTTTTGTAGAGATGGGGCCTCGCTATGTTGCCCAGGCTGGTTTCAAATGCCTAGGCTCAAGCCATCTACCTGCTTCAGTCTCCTAAAGTGCTGGGATTACAGGCATGAGCCACTGTACCCAGCCTATAATTGCCTTTTACCCTACCCAGATGTATTTGCATATTTTCTTCACATATGTTGTACTTGGTCTTTATTCTGAACAGGTACAAACATATTCTGCATAAAATAGCATGGTTAAGTTATGAATATACTTAACCATAATTTCGGAAAACCTTGTAAATCTATTTATAGCTTTAAATTTTCAATATAAGAATTTCAGGGAGGCCGGGCACTGTGGCTCACGCCTGTAATCCCAGCACTTTGGGAGGCTGAGGTGAGTGGATCACCTGAGGTCAGGAGTTCAAGATCAGCCTGGCCAACATGGCGAAACCCCGCCTCTTCTAAAAATGCAAAAATTAGCCAGGCGTGGTGGCGGGCACCTGTAATCCCAGCTACTCAGGAGGCTGAGGCAGGAGAATCACTTGAACCCGGGAGGTGGAGGTTGCAGTGAACCGAGATCACACCATTGCACTCCAGCTTGGGCAACAAGAGCAAAACTCTATCTCAAAAAAAAAAAAAATTTAAGGGAACACTGTCCAATTGGTATTCATTTAGAAGAGTTGCCAACACAAACTTACAAATGCAAAGTGGAAGCAACTATATGCAGATTTAAATTAATGGGCATAATGAGTGTGTGTTAGGACTAATTCTTTGCAAAGAATCTTGGAAAAGAAAACACTATAAAAGCTGCTCTACTTTATAGTCTGGTAGTTAAAAATCCTGTCCTTTCACAGCTGCAGCCTGGGTTCAATAATTCTTGGTCTGGGTAGTCCCTTTACAAAGGATAAAACTAAGGCCAGGTTCGGTGGCTCAAGCCTGTAATCCCAGCTACTTAGGAGGCTGAGGCATGAGAATTGCTTGAACCCAGGAGGCGGAGGGTGCAGTGAGCCAAGATAGTGTCACCGCACTCCAGCCTGGGTGACAGAGTGAGAATATCTCAAAAAAAAAAAAAAAAAAAAAAAAGAATAAAATTTAAGGCCAGTTGCATGCAGTGGCTCCTGCCTGTAATCCCAGCACTTTGGGAAGCTGAGGTGGGAGGATTAGCGTGAAGCCAGGAGTTCAAGACCAGCCCAGGCAACACAGCGAGCTATCATGGTGCCAGTGCACCGCAGCCTGGGTGACAGACGAGACTCCATCTCAACAACAACAGCAAAATAATACAACTTAACACTATGGAGGTAAATTTAAAGCAAATAGTTTTTGGATGTGCACGGTGGCTCACGCCTGTAAATCCTAGCACTTTGGAAGGCCGAGGTAGGAAGATCACTTGAGGTCAGGAGTTCAAAACCAGCCTAGCCAACATGGCGAAACTCCGTCTCTACCAAAAATACAAACAAATTAGCCGGGCATGGTGGTGGGTGCCTGTAATCCCAGCTACTCAGGAGGCTGAGGCAGGAGAATTGCTTCAGCCTGGGAGGCAGAGGTTGCAGTGAGCTGAGATCATGCCACTGCACTACAGTCTGGGTGACATAGCGAGATTCCGTATCAAAAAATAAATAAAATAAAATAAAATAAATAAAAATAAAGCAAATAGCTTCTGAGGAAAAATCAGAGTTTTCCAGGTTTCCACTGGCAAAGAACTGACTCTCTTTTCACAACTTTCCCTGCTCAAGGACAGTGGGAAGAATCACAGAGAGGAAAGGTGGGGGCCAGGTGAGGTGGCTTGTGCCTATAATCCCAGCACTTTGGGAGGCCAAGGTGGGCGGATCACTTGAGATCAGGAGTTCGAGACCAGCCTGGCCAACATGGTAAAACCCCATCTCTACTAAAAATATAAAAATTAGGCCGGGCATGGTGGCTCACGCCTGTAATCCCAGCATTTTGGTGGGCGAGGTGGGCAGATCACGAGGTCAGGAGTTCGAGACCATCCTGGCCAACATGGTGAAACCCAGTCCCTACTAAAAATACAAAAATTAGCTGGGCGTGGAGGCACATGCCTGTAATCCCGGTTACTCAGGAGGCTGAGGCAGTAGAATCACTTGAACCCGGGAGGCGGAGGTTGCAGTGAGCCAAGATCGCGCCACTGCACTCCAGCCTGACGACAGAGCTAGACTCCATCTCAAAAACAAAAACAAAAACTTGGCTGGGTGTCGTGGTGTGCACCTGTAATCCTAGCTACTCGGGAGGCTGAAGCTAGAGAATTACATGAGTCTGGGAGGTGGAGGTTGCAGTGAGCCGAGATCGCGCCACTGCACTCTAGCCTGGGGACAGAGCGAGACTCCATCTCAAAAAAAAAAAGAAAGAAGGCTGGGCGCAGTGGCTCACGCCTGTATCCCAGCACTTCGGGAGGCCGAGGTAGGCGGATCACCTGAGATCAGGAGTTCAAGACCAGCCTGGCCAACATGGTGAAACCCTGTCTCTACTAAAAATACAAAAAAATTTAACCAAGTGTGGTAGTGGGCGCCTGTAATCCCAGCTACTGGGGAGGCTGAGGCAGGAGAATTGCTTGAATCCGGGAGGTGGAGGTTGAAATGAGCCGAGATTGTGCCATTGCACTCCAGCCTGGGCAACAAGAGCAGAGAGCATTAGAATCCTTTAATAAAGAGCACAAACTTGCCTTTAAAGCAGAAGATCAGGGTAAAAAAGACAATGGGCTAGAAATTGGCAACATTTACACAATAAAGAAAGATCTGTATTCTAGCAAGCTTCTTTCTTTTTAAAAAGTTACTACAGGGGCCCGACGCAGTGGCTTGTGCCTGTAATCCCAGCACTTTGGGAGGCCGGGGCGGGCAGATCACGAGGTCAGGAGATCAAGACCATCCTGGCTAACATGGTGAAACCCTGTCTTTACTAAAACTACAAAAAATTAGCCGGGTGTGGTGGCAGGCACCTGTAGTCCCAGCTACTCGGGAGGCTGAGGCAGGAGAATGGCGTGAACCCGGGAGGTGGAGCTTGCAGTGAGCTGAGATAGCGCCACTGCACTCCAGCCTGGGTGACAGAGCGAGACTGCCTCAAAAAAAAAAAAAGTTATTATAGGTATTACTGTAAAAATTAATTAAAGTATGCTGTTTTAAGGTAGCTATTTTAATTTTTAAAATCTGTGAATGGTTTTTTTCAGCATATACAAACCATTTTAACCCTCAAAAGGAGAAAAGTTTATGTATAAAAAAAGAAAAGATGGTGGAAAGTTCAAATCCAATTGTTAGTAAACACTACTACTAGCTAGGTGGAATTTTCATTCTTTCTATGTTTATTTAAATTTTCCATAATGAAAACATTGTTTGCAATTGAAGTAAGGGTTACTTAAAAGGAAGAAAGTAAATTAAAAAAAAATTTTAGAGATGAAGTCTCATTCTGTCGCCCAGGCTAGAGTACAGTGGCATGATCCTAGCTTACAATAGCCTGGGCTCAAGCAATCTTTCTGCCTCAGCCACCAGAGTAGCTGGGATTACAGGCATGAACACCTGGTGGAAGAAAGCAAACTTTTAAAAAACATTTAAGAAAAAATGAGCTGGCCATGGTGGCGACTGCCTGCTGGTTCAAGCTACTTGGGAGGCTGAGTGGGAGGATCACTTGAGCCCAGGAGGTCAAGGCTGCAGTGAGCTGTGATCACACCACTGCACTCTAGCCTGAGTGCAGACAGAGATAGACTCTGTCTCAAAAATAATACAAATAAATAAATAACATAAATAAGGAGGGGAAGTCCAGGCTGGGTGGGGTGGCTCATGCCTGTGATCCCAACCCTGGGAGGCAGTAGGAGGGGGATCGCTTAAGCCCCGGACCTCACGACCAGCCTAGGCAACAAAGTGAGACCCTGTCTCTACAAAAGATAAAAAATTTAGCTGGTGTGGTGGTGCATGCCTGTGGCCCCAGCTACTCAGAAGGCTGAGGCAGGAGGATCACTTGAGCCCAGGAGCCCGAAGCTGCAGTGAGTTATATACTCCAGCCTGGGTGACAGAGTGAGACTCAAGAAAAAAGAAAGCAAGAAAGCAAGCAAGGAAGTAAGGAAGAAAATAAAGAAAGGGAGAAAGAGAAAGAAAGAAAGAGAAAGAGAAAGAGAGAAAGAGAGAGAGAAAGAGAAAGAGAGAAAGAGAAAGAGAGAAAGAGAGAGAGAAAGAAAGAAAGGAAGGAAAGAAGGAAGGAAGGAAGGGAAAGAAAGAAGAAAGGGAAGGAATGAAGGGAGGGAGGGAGGGAGGGAAGGAAATTCATAATCATTATGCAGAAAGCTCATTCGAACTTCAGGTAAAGCACCTGCCACACTTTGAGTCTGGATCATGTGCTTGAGGCAGTCAAGTCAAAATTGCAGAGTGTTTTGAGAAATGAATAAATTCCTCTGAAGCAAGAAACTGCTAAACTCAAGTCAAAATCCCTTCTCAGTTCCACATTAAAGGAGACCAAAGAGTCATGACAATTAAATGAAATGCATGACTGCAGGTGGGGAGGGAGGGAAATCATCATAAAGGACATTGGCAAATTTTAATATTGCCTATATAATAATATTGTGACAATACAAAATTTCCTGAGTTTGATCATTGCACTGTGGAACACGAATGTTCTCATTTTTCGGAAGTACAGGTAAAAGGTCAAAATGTCTGCAACTTAATCTCAAGTGGTTGGGGGAAAGTTAAAGCAAGATATGGCAAAATGTTAATAATCTGGTGAAGGGTATACGAGAATTCTTTATACTATTCTTGCAATTCTTGTTTTCAAAATAAAAAGCTGACGTGGCCAGGCGCAGTGGCTCACGCCTGTAATCCTAGAACTTTGAGAGGACAAGGCAGGCAGATCGCTTCAGCCCAGGAGCTCGAGATCAGCCTGGGTAACATGGCAAAACCCTGTCTCTACAAAAAATACCAAAAAAAAAGAAAAAAAAATTAGCTGGGAGGAGGACCACATGAGCCTGGGGAGGCTGAGGTTGCAGTGAGCTGTGATTACACCACTGCACTCCAGCCAGGGTGACAGAGTGAGACCCTGTCTCAAACAACAACAACAACAAAAGTTAATGCACACCTTCTCAAAGCCTCTCCCATCCCACAACTAGTTGAGCACATTGGTGGCACTACTACATCCAATGTAAAGAAATTCCTTCACCTGCAAACTTTAAACTCAAGAACTTTTCTAAGGACTGGTGCAGTGGCTCATGCCTATAATTCCAGCATTTTGGGAGGCTGAGGCAGGTGGATCACTTGAGCTCAGGAGTTCAAGACCAGCCTGGCCAACATGGTGAAACCCCGTCTCTACTAAAAATACAAAAAATTAGCCAGGCGTGGTAGCATGCACCTGCAATCCCAGCTACTGGGGAGGCTGAGGCTCGAGAATCGTTTGAACCCAGGAAGCGGAGGTTGCAGTGAGCCAAGATCACACCACTGCACTCCAGCCTGGGCGAAAGAGCAAGTTTCACTGCAACCTCTGCCTCCTGGGTTCAAGTGATTCTCTTGCCTCAGCTTCCCCAGGAGCTGAGACTGCAGGTGCATGCCACCACACCCGGCTAATTTTTTGTATTTTTAGTAGAGACGGGGTTTCACCACGTTGGCCAGGCTGGTCTCAAACTCCTGACGCCAAGTGATCCACCCGCCTCGGCCTCCCAAAATGCTGGGATTACAGGATTACAGGCATGAGCCACCATGCCCAGCAGAAAGACCTTTTCTTTTCTTTTCTTTTTTTTTTTTGAGACGGAGTCTTGCTCTTGTTGCCCAGGCTGGAGCGCAATGGAGTGATCTTGGCTCACTGCAACCTCCACCTCCCGAGTTCAAGAGATTCTCCTGCCTCAGCCTCCCTAGTAGCTAGGATTACAGGCGCCTGCCACCACGCCCAGCTAATTTTTTTTTGTATTTTTAGTAGAGATGGGGTTTCACTATGTTGGTCAGGCTGGTCTCAAATTCCTGACCTCAGGCCATCCACCTGCCTCAGCCTCCCAAAGTGCTGAGATTACAGACTTGAGCCACCACGCCCAGCTAGAAAGAACTTTTCTAAGCATAAGATAACCCTTCAGAGTGAAGCCTCGCCAGCATCCAACTCCAGCAAATGTCATTGGAGCAGTGGTTTTCTAGCCTGGCTTCAAATGCAGAATCACAAAACCTAAGACCTGGGACCCTTTAAATCAGACTCTCTGCAGGTATTCTAGCTCCAGCCAGGGTGGAAAACCTCTATGACAGCTGATGTACTATTGAGAATCTCTACCTAGATTGGAAAGGTGGATTGTAGGTGCAAAGTAATACCATTGAAAAGTCCTCTATTCACGTGCTTGCCACTTACAAACTTATGTGGTATCACCTTAAGTAAAATCAGCCTTTAAGAAAGATCAAATAGGCATCTAAGCTATAGTTGTTAAAAAAAAAAAAAAGAAGAAGAAAAGAAAAGGAAGAAAGGAAAAAAAAAATAACCAAGTAGGCATCTGATGCTTCAGTGAGAAGCTGTAGACCTCTTGCTAGCTTCCCATCCCAGATTTAGGGAGACTCTTGCCCTATTTTAACATTAATATTCTAGAGAGAGCAAATAATCTCCAGGAAGGTGCATTGGTGTCCAGCCTCCTAAGCACCTCTCTCTATATATTTGCAATTAAGGGCCCATGGTTCAGCCGGGCAAGGCCTCACTCTGTTGGGATGTTCTTCATGGCCACCAGCAGAGGGAGCCACACACCCAGCCAATGGCCGCAGCTGCACCCAAGGACTAGGACATGGAAACAGGTGGAAATGCTGAAATCACCCGGATGAGCGAGCGCACTGAGATTGGATCACAGCTCTATCACATCATGATCTGATTACTTATTTCCCACTGGACTGTGAGCTCGGACCATGTCTAATTTATCTTCTGTCTCCTGAGTCTTGCACAGCATCCGGCACACAGTAGCGCTTGGCAAATATTAACTGTGGTTGCTATTTCGGGCATCTGACAAATGAATATTCACCAGACCTGGCCAGATGTTAGCATTCGCTAGGATTGTCAAGAGGCTGAGATGCTCTTCCTCCCTCCCGAGATCCCTCACAAGGTATTTTCTGCATCCCAGGCCAATGAGACACTTTTTTTCCCAGAACACCCTTCCATCATAGAGACCCCTACAATTAGATCCTGAGAAATTCATCCCCCATCGGCATCCTCCCCATCTTTTCCCCAATCCACAAAACATCTGTCTCCCTGCAGGCAAGGCCTCAGGCCCCTCACCAGCCCCGACCTGGAGTGGACCCACAAGTCCCCCAGCCCAGACAGCTGGGTTAGAGACTCACACGCCGGCTGGCACCAGTGGCTGGAACTTCCACTGCTCCTCCTCACAGTCCAGGAAAAGCCGGTTCATGATCTTGTTCTTCTCCTCCGGCGGGATGAAGTTCTCGATGATTAGGTACCTGGGAGCAGGAATGAAGGAGTGATGGGAAAATGGGTGAGCGAGAGACCACGTGGTGCATGTGAGGGTTGAAGGATTAGAAGCAACAAGCCAAGAGGCAGAGGGGGCTGGGCACGGTGGCTCACGCCTGTAATCCCAGCACTTTGGGAGACCAAGGCGGGCGGATCACGAGGTCAGGAGATCAAGACCATCCTGGCTAACACAGTGAAACACCATTTCCGTCTCTACTAAAAATACAAAAAAAAATTAGCTGGGCGTGGTGGTGGGTGCCTGTAGTCCCAAGCTACTCAGGAGGCTGAGGCAGGAGAATGGCATGAACCTGGGAGGCAGAGCTTGCAGTAAGCTTAGATCACACCACTGCACTCCAGCCTGGGCGACAGAGTGAGACTCCGTCTCAAAAAAAAATAAGTTAATTAATTATTTATTTATTTTAAAAAAAGAGGCAGAGGCAATGTGGAGGTGGGGAAAATCAAGAAGTTAAGGGGAAAGGATCCCTACAGAAATACTGCAGCTTGAAAAATCACTGCTTCTAACAGGTACACAAAATTAGAAAAATGAATAAATACTTTTATTTGATAGCACAATAGGGTGACTATAGTCAATAACTTAATTGTATATATATGTGTGTGTGTGTGTGTGTGTGTGTATATATATATATATTTTTTTTTTTTTGAGACAGTTTTGCACTTGTTGCTCAGGCTGGAGTGCAATGGCACGATCTCAGCTCACTGCAACCTCCACCTCCTGGGTTCAAGTGATTCTCCTGCCTCAGCCTCCTGAGTAGCTGGGATTACAGGCACATGCCACCATGCCTGGCTAATTTTTGTATTTTTAGTAGAGATGGGGTTTCACCACGTTGGCCAGGCTGGTCTCAAACTCCCGACCTCAGGTGATCCACCTGCCTCAGCCTCCCAAAGTGCTGGGATTACAGGTATAAGCCAGCAAATTGTATATTTTAAAATAACTTAAAGAGTGTAACTGGATTATTGTAACTTGAAGGATAAATGTTTGAGGGGATGGATACCCCATTCTCCATGATGTGCTTAGTTCACATTGCACACCTGTATCAAAACATCTCATGTGGCCAGGCGAGGTGGCTCATGCCTGTAATCCCAGCCCTTTGGGAGGCCGAGGAGGACGGATCACCTGAGGTCAGGAGTTTGAGACCACCCTGGCCAACATGGCGAAACTCCATCTCTACTAAAAATGCAAACATTAGTCAGGTGTGGTGGTGGGCGCCTGTAGTCCCAGCTACTCAGGAGGCTGAGGCAGGAGGACCGCTTGAACTTGGGAGGTGGAGGCTGCAGTGAGCCAAGACTGCACCACTGCACTCCAGGGTGGATGATAGAGCAATATTCCATCTCCAAAAAAAAAAAATCTAATGTATCCCATCAATATTAATATATGCAACTACTATATACACACATTTTTTAAAATAATTTTTAAAACAAATTTAAAAATAATTTTTTTTTTTGAGACAGAGTCTTGCTCTGTCGCCCAGGCTGGAGTGCAGTGGCTCCATCTCAGCTCACTGCAAGCTCTGCCTCCCAGGTTCACACCATTCTCCTGCCTCAGCCTCCCAAGTAGCTGGGACTACAGGCGCCCGCCACCACTCTCGGCTAATTTTTTATATTTTTAGTAGAGGCGGAGTTTCTCCGTGTTAGCCAGGATAGTCTCGATCTCCTGACCTCGTGATCCACCTGCCTCAGCCTCCCAAAGTGCTGGGATTACAGGCATGAGCCACTGCGCCCGGCCTTTTTTGTTTTTGTTTTTTTTTTTTTTTTGAGACGTTGTCTCGCTCTGTCGCCCAGGCTGGATTGCAGTGGCATGATCTCGGCTCACTGCCACCTCCACCTCCCAGGTTCAAGCAATTCTGCCTCAGCCTCCTGAGTAGCTGGGATTACAAGTGCGCGCCACCATGCCCGGCTAATTTTTGTATTTTTAGTAGAGATGGGGTTTCACCATGTTGATCAGGCTGGTCTCAAACTCCTGACCTCAGGTGATCCACCTGCCTCGGCTCCCAAAGTGCTGGGATTACAGGCATGAGCCACTGCGCCCGGCCCTAAAAATAATTTTTAAAAAATTTAAAATCACTGATTCTTATGCAAAGATGGTAGCCTCAGGGCCTTCGGAGTTACTTTTGGCCAGCACCTAGCGTCCATTTTGAGGGGTTCATCAAATACAGGCAGAGGAGGTAGAAGAAACTCCAGCACGTGGGCCCATCCCTCAGCCCTCAGACGCATTTTATTCCTAAAGGACTCATGGGAGAGGAGACAGTCAGGATGAGGCCTTAGGGGAGGAGAGGCCTGAGTAATGATGGCTGGCTGTGGGGACCCGGGATGAAAAGAGCTGCGGGCCCTACTTGAGCTTGAGTTCGCGGGTCTGCTCGTTCTGCGCCTCCTCCAGGTCCTGCCGCACGCGGATATACTCATCATGCTGGTCCTGGATCTCCGCCTTCACCGCCTGCAGCTTGGCGTAGAGCTGGGTGGGGACAGGTGCCACTCAGAGGCTGCTTGGTGTGGCAACGAGGCCCCAGTCACCCAGCCTGGGCCGCAGGGCTGCAGGCTCAGAGTCTACCGACTCAGCCCAGGATGAGGCTGCGGGTCCTTTTCTGAACTCCCCGCTGTGCCCAACCCACCACGAATTGGGCTGGGCTATTTAAAGTGGTGCCCCGCCCTCCTTCACTGAGGCCTGTGACCATTGTCTGCTCTTTCTCAGCTGCTATCAGCATCGTGGAATGTTCAAACGGGAGGGGACCCCAGGGACCTTTTGGTCCAATACCCTCCTTTCATAGATGAGGAAGCCAGGCACAGACTTGCTCAAGGTCACACAACCAGCCAATAGAAGAGCCGGAACTAGGACCCGGGGCTTATTTGGAGACCCAGCTCAGGAAGCAGGAAGCCTGAACGAGTTTGGAAGGTGACCCCTCCCACTCCAGTCTCTTCAGGGGCTCTCAAAAGTGGGGTGTGGAGGTAGCATGGCCATCCTGCTCCTCTCCAAAGCCACTGAGGGCTGGGTCCGTGGTAACTGCCACAGTGGCAGTGCCTCTGCCAGGCCTGCCCCTGGGCAGCCACATCACCCACCCCGAAGGGCCTCCAGGTTTTTCCCAGAATCCAAGCTAGAGCTTTGCTGCTTCCTGCCCTAGACCCCCCTCACATGTACATGTCTTTCCCTTGCCACGGGCTTTGCAGGGTTCTGGTGAGCGGCTATTCTCATCCCTTGACATGTCCTTGAGGGCCTTACACTCCCCACCTGAGCTTCCCGGGGTTCCAGTCTCCTCCTCAGCCTCTCTGTATTCCCCTGGCCCTGCTCCAGGCCCAGCTATCCCAACTGTGACTCACTGGTGACACTGAACGGGGTAATCACCCAGGACCATGAAGATGGTAACGCTGGATACTGCAAGTGACAGAGTTTGCAGCCTGTCATAGCCCACCCTGGCCCAGGAGAAAAGGCTCTACTCCACCCCCAGCCCCCGCCTCCTGCCTCCCCCTGTTGCTCACCCCCGAGGCCAAGCCATGTCACTCAGGGGTTCAGCAGTTCCAGCCAAATGGGGAGGAGTCCCTGAAGCACACATCCCTTGGGCAGAGACTGCTGGGCCTCCAGCACACCTTAACCGGTCCTGCTGCAGCGTCTCACCTTCTTGAGTTTCTTGGTTTTGACCTCCACCTCCTGCTGCAGGGATGTGTAGGTGCCCCGGAGCTCCATAGTCTCCTCGTCCCGGAGCATCATCTCCTGCTGCATCTCCCGCTCACGACGTTTCTAGGCCAAGGACGGGCAGTGTGGCTCAAAGGAGCAGTGCATACTCGGGAGGGCCAGGAAAGCTCAGGGGACTGGCTCACTCTGCCTGTCTCGGGACCTGGCTTCACCATGGCCCATGGCCCACATCCACTGCTCCCACCCAATCCTGCAGAGCCCCTGGGAACCCTCCTCTCAGTTCCCAGGGCCATGCCTTTGCCAGGCTCTGCCCCATGTGGATGGAGACCCCAGCCCCTAAGAGCTGGCCTACTCCAGAGGCGTTAGTCACACAGATGGAGGCACATCACACTGCCTTCCAAGCTGCCTCACCCTCTCCCCAAGTAGTATAATGGTTGATTGGTAAGACCAACAAACTGTGGCTCTTGATGATTTAGGGAAACAGTCATACAGTTGGCAAAGAACTCACACCACCTTGTGGAAGGCCCAGGAATTAGTACCAGGTGGCTTGTGGAGGCTGATGTTATGGAGAGCTATCACGTCCTCTCGCCCACCAGCTAGCAGTGCCCCTGCCAAAGGGAAGACCCTGGGCTAGTAGACCTGTGGGACCCAGGGTGGCATGTCTGAGATTCTCAGCACTGTAATTCCAGAGATCCAGAGTCCACCATGGTTTACGGCCCTGCACCTCCCAGACATGAGCTGCAGGCCACACTCTCCAAGGGGACCTGGCACCTGGAGGCCCTACCTGCTCGGCAATCTCCTGCCTCTTCAGTTCCAACATCTTCTGCTGTTCGTTGGTGTGATCCATGATGTTCCTGCCCCCGATGAGGAGCTTGCTCTCCATGGCCTGGGGACACAGAGGGGTTGGGAGGTGGGCTTTGCAAAGGGTCCACAACATTGCTAGCTGGAGAGATTTTGCTTCCCTGCTCTGTGGTCCTTCTGGGAGTGGACACCAGATGTGTCCCAGATGGGGCCTTGTGGCTTTCAGGGAGAATGGAGTTTTCCCCTCTAGTGTCTCAGGTCCCAGCACAAGGCTCTTATTGTCAGCAGGAACACTAGGGAGGCACAGAGGGTGCCCCTCGGGGAATCTAGGGCAACTGGTCTGTTTGCTTTGGGTACACAGGAAAGGTTGGTCCACCAGGGCTAGGAGGAGGATGGGGGTGGCAACCTAATCCTGGCAACCAGGACCCAGCTGGTGTTGAGGATTGGGAAAGATAAGATACAGTCACCAGGTAGCCCAGCCTTTAGCTAACTGGCTTCCAACTCAGGAAGACAGCTCTCAACACAGGCAGCAGGAAAGGGTCTAAATCTTCAGCTGATGTGGAAAGCAGAAGAAAAGCCAAAGGGAGCAGACTGCACAGCAAGAAGGAACAGCACGGGCCCAGCACAGCAGGAGCTTTGGAGAGGGCCGGGAAGACTTGGTTCTACCCACTTACCTCGAGGCTTTGGGCAAATTAATCCCTTCAGGTCTGTCATCTACAATATTGGAACACCGCCTATGTTCCAGGATGGCTGGCAAACATTTGTGGAGCGCTAAGTATCTATTAGATGCTGAGCTAAGCCTTTAACACCATGGTTTCCATCCCCCCCTAAGAGGGACTATTCTCCTCCGCATTTAATAAATGAAGACATTGAGAATGACCAGCCTAAGGCCATGCAGCTATTGAGTAGCAAAGAGGAGAGATTTGAACCTCGTACCCCCAGTCTCACTCTGTGAAAGCCCCTAGTCAGTGCTTTGGAATCTGAAGCTGAAATAATGTCAGATTTGTGTAAACTGTGACTACATAAAATGTATTTTCAAGAGGGTGCTGTCGGCAGCCTTTCAAAACCTATTCTGGTTTGGGGGGGTGCCCGATTTGAAATTTTAGAAAATGAAAATAAAATAAGAAGAAGGTGCTGTCCCAGGGTACCCAGTTGTCCTCTGGCTTCATCACGGGCCTCCTGGAAGGTTGAAATCACCTTGAACCAGTGGAAAAAGCTGGCTGCTTCTCCACTGGAATTTTTCCCAGTGGAAACAGCTGACCTACCTGAGGGATCTCAAAGCAGGGGGTGCTGTCAGACTTGGGGAGCAGGAGACCACCTGTAAGAGCCACATCATTGGGAACACAGCCAGACAGGGGTTAACAGTGGCTTTTGGGAGGTCAAGGAATGGGCTGTGTGAGGCTTTGTCACCCAAAGACGCTGAGCAAGTTGGGCCCGCCAGAGAGGCACGAGCTTCATTCCAGCCCCACACAGCCTCAGAGGCCAAGGCAGGAGGAAGAGGCCTTGAGCCCTGGAGGCTGTCCATGCTGCCACACTGCAGCCGCCTGCGCTCCTGGTTAATGATCTCCCCTCTTACCGCATTGCCTTGCCACAGACCTAAACCCATCCTAGGCTCCTCCTTCACACTCCAGGTCAGCATTTGCAGGACCATGAGAGGGAAGAATCCCTTACACTGCATCCTCAGCGACTCACCTGCCTCGCCTCATCCCTGCCCTGCCTCTCATCCGTTGCATCTGGCCAGTGAGTCAAGGCCATCAAATCTGCTCCTCAGTGCGGCTCCCACCACCCCCCATTTTTCATTCTCACTGCTACCTGCTGGCTTCATTGCAGCCCCCACAACTCTCCTGGACCACTGCTGTGGTCTCCCCACTGCCTCAGTGTCCCCTTCCACCCCTCTGCCACATGACACCCAGGCAGATCCACTAAAAACACAACCCTGGGCTGGGGACGGTGGCTCATGCCCGTAATCCCAGCACTTTGGGAAGTTGAGGTGGGCGGATCATCTGAGGTCAGGAGTTCGATACCAGCCTGGCCAAAATGGAGAAACCCCAGCTCTACTAAAAAGACAAAAATTAGCTGGGTGTGGTGGCGTGCACCTGTAGTCCTAGATACTCAGGAGGCTGAGGCAGGAGAATCGGTTGAACTAGGGAGGCAGAGGCTGCAGTGAGCCGAGATCACGCCACTGCACTCCAGCCTGGGTGCCAGAGTGAGACTTCATCACAAAAAACAAAAAACAAAAAACAGCACAACTCTGAATGCTTGCTCCTTGGCTTCAAACTACTGAATGGACCTCCATTCCTTACAGGATGAAATCCAAGGTCAGCTGCAGTGACAGGCCCCGGGAGCTGGCCTGGCCTCCCGGTTCCTCTTACTATTCATGCTCTGCGTATGCTCTGTACTCCAGCCTCACCAAGAGAATTCCAGCTCCCTGGGGGCCCGGTGCGGTGGCTAGCGCCTGTAATCCCGGCACTTTGGGAGGCCAAGGCAGGCGGATCACCTGAGGTTGGGAGTTCGAGACCAGTCTGACCAACATGGAGAAACCCCATCTCTACTAAAAATACAAAATTAGCTGGGCATAATGGCACATGCCTGTAATCCCAGCTACTCAGGAGGCTGAGGCAGGAGAATCGCTTGAACACGGGAGGCGGAGGTTGTGGTGAGCCGAGATCACGCCATTGTACTCCAGCCTGGGCAACAAGAGCAAAACTCCGTCTCAAAAAAGAAAAAAAAGAATTCCAGCTCCCTCAATGGGCCATGGCATTTCACAAGCACCTGGGTTCCTCCTCCCACTCCACATCTAACTGGAAAACTGCCACTTTTTCTGCAAGACACACCTTGACCATTGGGAAATTTTCCCTGATCCCCTTGAAATTGCTCTTTCGGGCCCCCTCAGTAACCAGGCCATATTCCTACTATTTCTCATAATAGAATAATTATTCATTTACATGCTGTCCCCCCTGTGAGCTCCCTCATGGCAGCAGTCATATCTTACTCATATCTCTGGGTCCCTGGACTTAGCTCAGTGCTTGGCAGATAACAAGTGCTCAATACGTATTTGATGAACCAAACAGAATCCTTGGGGGTTGTCCCAGAGTGGGTTCCAGGTCCCTTCCTTGGGCTCTCTTTTTTTTCTGCAGTGGCGCGATCTTGGCTCACTGCAACCTTCACCTGCCACGTTCAAGCGATTCTCCTGCCTCAGCCTCCCACGTAGCTGAGACTACAGGCACATGCCACCACACCCAGCTAATTTTTCTATTTTTAGTAGAGATGGGGTTTTGCCGTGTTGGCCAGGCTGGTCTCGAACTCCTGACCTCAAGTGATCCGCCTGCCTCAGCCTCCCAAAGTGCTGGGATTACAGGTGTGAGCCACTGCACCCGGCCACCTTGGGCTCTCTTTATCCCAGTTTCTCCTCCCATTCATCAATCCACACTCACTGTCATGGGGCCCGATCATCTGGGGAACCTGGCAGGAGGGGTGGGGTGGGTGTGAGAGAAAAGAGAAGAACCACATGGAGGAGGCCCCTACTGTTGTGGACCATGGATACCTGATCCCCTAACTACTGGGTCACAGGTCTTCAGGAGCCTGCTGTCTGGCCTGGCCTCTGAATCTGGGACACGCTTGTCCATTTCAACCCTGAGACCCTTCATTTTCCCCAGCATTTTATGTGGCTCTAGCATTCTTTATTCTTTATAATCAAAAGACACTTGCTCTCAAATATCACTGCATGTTAGAAACACCTGGGGAGATTTTGTAACACTCCAGAGCCAGGTGTGGTGGCTTATGCCTGTGGTCCCCATTGTTTGGGAGGCTGAGGCAGGAGGATCGCTTGAGCCCAGGGGTTCAAGATCAGCTTGGGCAACATAGCAACGCCCTATCTCAAAAATAAATAAGCAAATCAAATAAGAAATTCAGACCTAGTGAATTGAGATCCATATTGTACTGAGATTCCCAGGTAATTTGGATGCACATAAATGTCTGAAAAGGACTGGTGTAAGGGGCATGCATATTATTAGCACTATCATTTTTCCAGTGAAAGCTCACAGAGGTTATATAACCCATCCAAGGTCACATGATGGCCCCCTCAGTAACCAGGCCATATTCCTACTATTTCTCATGATAGAATCATTATTCGTTTACATGCTCTCTCGCCTGTAAGCTCCCTTAGGACAGCAATCATATCTTACTCGTATCTCAGGGTCCCTGGACTTAGCACACTGCTTGGCAGATAACCATCTGTGAGCTTTCACTGGAAAAATGATAGTTATATGCCTCTCATTAAATTTAAATGGAGATCCAGCTGAGCAGGATGGCTTATGCCTGTAATTGCAGCACTTTGGGAGGCTGAAGTGGGCAGATCCCTTGAGTCCAGGAGTTCAAGACCAGCCCAAGTAACATGGCAAAACCCGTCTCTATAAAAAATATAAAAATGGGTCAGGCATGGTGGTGTGGGCCTGTGGTCCCAGCTACTCGCAAGGCTGTGGCAGGCGGATCACTTGAGCCTGGGAGGTTGAGGCTGCAGTGAGCTGAGATTGCGCCAATGCACTTTAGCTTGGGCAACAGTGAGACCCTGTCTCAAAAAAAGAAAGAGAATTAAAAACAAAAAACTTAAATGGAGACCTGGCCTAGGCCTGCCTGGCTCCAAAGCCCAAGCTCTTCCTATTGCAGGGGCTGTGGTGACTCCTTTAGGAAGCAGAACCTGCTAAAGGAAATCAACATGTTTCCGGCAAGAGGAAATGGTGTCTGACTAATCTCTGAGAGTTCTTTCAGAATGGGACGGAATAGGTTATTACAGCACATGGGGAAGCCAATGACCAGAACTCTGGAGGTTAAAGCACTCCTGGCAAGGCTGCACATCAGAGGTTATTCAAAGTTACATGGGGAGTGAAGAGATGGAGAAAGGGGAAGTGAACTAGGGAAAGGAAACAGAAATAAACAGGTATTTCTCTGGATGGAAAGCACTCAAGTGTGAAACAACAGGACTAATCTCTGAAGCTGTGCAAGAAGGAGTGCATGGGTGAAATACCCAACTTCACAGACACCCCCAAATCCTCCTAGGTGGTAAAGTACAACAGAATTTCTAGCCTATGTGAGCTGACAAAAAATGGCAGATGAGCATCAATTACAATTTTACATTTTGGGGAAAAGGAATCCTAACTCTACTAATTAAATGATAGCCATGGGCAATCAATTATAAGCCCTAAAAAGGGGAGGAGGAGGAGGAGTAACACTCCACTGTTCCCAGAAGACACTGGCTGAATATGCTGCCACAGCTAAAAAAGTCAGTAGCATCTGCCCAGGCACCATCATGAAGGCTTTTTAGAAACAAAACATTGTACCCTCATATAAAACCATGATGTGGCTGAATTGGGAGTACTGTGTGTAGTTCTCTTACTGCATCTCCAGAGACATAAAGCAGAGAGAAGATCAAGAGAAGGGAGGCTTAGGCCGGGCGCAGTGGCTCAAGCCTGTAATCCCAGCACTTTGGGAGGCCGAGGCAGGAGAATCGCTTGAACCCGAGGCGGAGGTTGCAGTGAGCTGAAATCGTGCCACTGCACTCCTGCCTGGGTAACAGAATGAGACTCCATCTCAAAAAAAAAAAAAAAAGACTCTGTTCTGAAAAGACAAAGAAAAGTTAAGAGGATAAGTCTGGAAATGAAACAATCAAAACTGGGGATGAAAAGGAAAGATCCAGGCTTTTCCAATCCATCCTGGCACATAGAGTAAGAGCTCACGTCTTGAGGTTTGACAGCAGCAGTTTTTAGGACAAACGAAAAGGAGTTTTACTGTTTATAGAAGGTAATACATTTACGAAATTTGTTACTTCAAGAGTTAACCCTGGAGGAAATACCAGTCTATTAAAGAATTCTGGGGACACGTTTTTAACCCTTTATTGTCTTTCTCTCCTTTCAGAAAAAAAGAATTGCACAAACATCAAAATCACCAAAGAAATAAAATGACAAATGCCACATATTCCCTACCATGGCTACTTGGTTTCTTTCATTTTCCCTGGTTTTTTTTTGTTTGTTTTTGTTTTTTTGAGACGGAGTTTCGCTCTTGTTGCCCAGGCTGGAGTGCAATGGCACGATCTCGGCTCACGCAACCTCCACCTCCTGGGTTCAAATGAGTCTCCTGTCTCAGCCTTCCAAGTAGCTGGGATTACAGGCGCGCACCACCACACCCGGCTAATTTTGTAGTTTTGTAGAGACAGGGTTTCTCCATGTTGGTCAGGCTGGTCTTGAACTCCCGACCTATGGTGATCCACCCACCTCAGCCTCCCAAAGTGCTGGGATTACAGGCATGAGCCACTGTGCCTGGCCCTTTTTTCACCTCTATGGACATAGTATAAACACAAGCTTATGTCTTGCTATTTCCACTTTACCTAATATATATATAATATAATATATATATAAAATATATGTTATATATATAATATATATTATATAATATATAATATATATAATATATAAAATATATAAAATATATAATATATAATATAATATATAATATATATAATATATAAAATATATATAATATAAAATATATATAATATATAATATATATAATATATAATACATATAATATATAATATATAATATATAATATATATAATATATAATATATAATATATAATATATATAATATATAATATATAATATATATAATATATAATATATAATATATAATATATAAATATATAAATATATATACACACATACACACACATATATGCATATATATACATATACATGTGTACATAGATACATGTATATGTATATATATGCATATATGTGTGTGTGTGTATGTATGTGTGTGTGTATATATATATATATATATATATTTTTTTTTTTTTTTTTTTTTTTTTTAAAGATAGAGTCTCACTCTGTCACCCAGGCTGGAGTGCAGTGGTGCACTCTCAGCTCACTGAAACCTCCCGCCTCCCAGGTTCAAATGATTCTTCTGCCTTGGCCTCCTGAGTAGCTGGGACCACAGGCACCCACCACCACGCCTGGCTAATTTTTGTATTTTATTGTAGAGACAGGGTTTTGCCATGTTGCCCAGGCTGGCTCAAGGGATCCACCTGCCTCAGCCTCTCAAAGTGCTGTGATCACAGGTGTGAGCCACCACTCCCAGCCTAATTTTTTGCTTTTTTAGGTGACTTTCTTAGAAAGGAATTTCAGAAGAGGACAAAGGGTTATAAACATTTTGTGTATCTTGGAACATATTGTCAATTATCATTCTAATGACTTAAACTACTGCCAGCAGTAAATAATGGAACCATTTTTATTACAGCATCATAGGCATGAAGTATTATTATTATTATTATTATTATTATTATTATTATTATTATTTTGAGACAGAGTCTCACTTCGTTGCCCAGGCTAGAGTGCAGTGGCGTGATCTCGGCTCACTGCAACCTCTGCCTCCCAGGTTCAAGCGACTCTCCTGCCTCAGCCTCCTGAGTAGCTGGGATTACAGATGTGTACCACCACACCTGGCTAATTTTTGTATTTTTAGTAGAGATGGGGTTTCACTATGTTGGCCAGGCTGGTCTCAAACTGCTGACCTTGTGATCCGCCCACCTCAGCATCCCAAAGTGCTGGGATTACAGGCGTGAGCCACCATCCCTGGCTCCGCATGAAGTATTATTATTTTAAAAATTTGTTATGGCTAGGCACAGTGGCTCATACCTGTAATCCCAACACTTTCGGAGACCTAGGCAGGTGCATCATTTGAGGCCAGGAGTTTGAGACTAGCCTGGCCAACATGGCAAAATCTCATCTCTACTAAAAAGACAGAAATTAGCTGGGCATGGTGGCGTGCACCTGGAATCCCAGCTACTCAGGAGGCTGAGGCACAAGAATCGCCAGAGGTTACAGTGAGCTGAGATAGCACCACTGTACTCTAGCCTGGGCCACAGAGCAAGACTCTGTCTCAAAAATAAAATAAATAAAATAAAATAAAAATAAACATTTGTTATAATAATAGATATAAAATCGAGCCTCTGCATTCATTTTATATTCTCCATACCTTTAAGGTGGTCTTTGTGGAGGCCTGAGCTTTCCTTTCCCAACATACTCTATATTGTGTTTTTAAAAACTTTTTGGTGATTTTTCTTTTTCCATTAGAGACGGGGTCTTGCTCTGTTGCCCAGGCTGGAATGTAGTGGCATGATCAGAGCTCACTGCAGCCTCCAGCTCCTGGGCTCAAAAGATCTTCCCACCTCAGCCTTCTGAGTAGCTGGAACTACAGGCATGTGCCAGCATGCCGGCTAATTTTTTTGGTGATTTTCAAGTGAAGAGATGGACCTCAGATTCAAAATGAAATTTTTTGTTTATTCAGCCTCCACCTTCCCCAGCTATCCACACCTAGGCCCAAGTCCTTCTCACTCAAAGGCTACCAACTCACCCAGTTCTTGAAGCCACCTGGACACTATCAGGCATAATTTGAGCTGCCAGTCAGGCCTGGGGTCTGATGCATTAGCCAAGCATGACTGCTGAGTCCCCAAGTCCCAGCCCTCCTTCCTCCCTCTTCCCCATTACAGGAGTCTCAAGACCAGCTCCTGGGCTGGTTTCTGCTCATCTGCTTCCGCGTTGGATCTCCTCTGTGGACCTAGAACTCTGCTTCACAATCTCTCCTGCGGGCTGGGCCCTGGGCTCCATAAAGAGAATCCTGGACGATGACTAACTGGCCACTATCACTCCACCCGTCTGTCCAATGCCCCTGTGTTTCTCTGCCAGCCCTGCCGGGACCCAGCACAGACGTGGTCTGAATGTCAACTGAATTTGCCTTATCAGTCACTGGCCAAGTCTTGCCCACTTGCTCAAACCCACACTCTCAGCCAAGCCTGGCTGACAGACCAGTCTTGTGCTGGGAAGATGGGGTTGGCTCTGGCATGAAATCTGTGGGTGGGCCTCAGTCCAGGTGCAGGGTCTCTGCTCCCTCCTTCTCCCCAGTCTCACCCCAAGCTGTCTGCTTCACTCCCATGCTCGGAAATATGTCATGCATGAGATTCCTTTCTTGGCTTAGAAATAGATTTTTTTCCTTTACTTTTTTATTTCCACATTTGTCTGAGGATACCAGTGGCCATCTCCTCCTTTCTCTCAGAGATCTTGAGCCTTTTCTTTTCTTTTGAGACACGGGATCTCGCTCTGTTGTCCAGGCTGGAGTGCAGTGGTTCACTGCAGCCTGGATGTTCCAGACTCAAGAGATCCTCCCACCTAAGCCTCCCAAATAGCCGCATGAGCCACCACACCCGACTAATTTTTTTAGAGATCTCTATCCTTAACCATCACCTATGAGGATAGGGAGGGACAGGGATGCCTGAAATCCCTGAGCCTAATTCAGTCTAGAATATACCAAGCAGAGGACATGAGAATGTGGAGTTCCTAGTCTTCAAGAGAACTTCCCTGAAGCTCTCAGCCATTCCAGTCAATGCTTCTTTTGTAATATTTCAGAGCAAAAGACTATAGGTGGGTGGGCCTGGGGACAGGATTGGGTTTGGTTCTGCTGATTCTAAACAAGTCCAGTGTAACTAAAAGGCCAGCACAGGCTGTGGGGGTGGAAAAGACAGGGCTGGGAGCTCCAGGGCACCATAGTCTCTCACTTGAGAGATGGATATGAAGGGCAGGGTAACCAAGGGGACTTTGGGAATCATCAACCCCAACCCCCATGCTTTATAGATGGGAAACAAAGGCCTAGAAGTGGAGTCCTTGAAGCCTGAGTCTCCTAATTAAGGAATCTGTCTAGATGCTCTTTTTTTTTTTTTAAGACAGTCTCATTTTGTCACCCAGGCTGGAGTGCAGAGGCACAATCTCGGCTCACTGCAACCTCTGCCTCCTGGATTCAAGCAATTCTCCTGCCTCAGCCTCCTAAGTAACTGGAACTACAGGTGCCTGCCACCACGCCCAGCTAGCTTTTGCATTTTTAGTAGAGATGGGGTTTCACCATGTTGGCCAGGCTGGTCTCGAACTCCTGACCTTAAGTGATCCACCCACCTTGACCTTCCAAAGTGCTGGGATTACAGGCGTGAGCCACCACGCCCCACCTGTCTAGCTGCTCTTATATTGACTATGTGCTTTCCAAATAACTTCCCAATTTGACTAAGGCTCTGATTCCAGGTATCAGAGGCAGGTCAGCTGCTGTGACAACAGCCAGGTCACTACAGGGACAATGCCAGCTTGTAGACACAGCCGGGGATACTCAGAGACTCACCTTTAACTATTCCAGGAGCAAATGGAGTGCAAAACCAGAGCGGGGAGAAAGGAGGCCCCAGTACTCATAAAGCACTGACGTGGAAAGCTAGAATGGAGACAGCCAGGCCCAGCCAGCCACTCTTCTGGAAAGATAGCATCAAGTATGATTTTACAAGGACAGAGAAGCCAAACAGGCTCTGCCCTGCCACTGCCACCTATCTGTGACATTCCGCAGGAGACAGGAGTCTCAGATGCAACTGGCCATGTGCCTCAACTGGGTTAACTCCTTTTTACCTTAATCGTCCTATCTGATGCTCACAAGAACCTTATGAGATAATGGTTATGATCCCCATTTGACATAAAAGAAAACTAAGGCCCAGACAGGCGAAGTGATTTGCTCAAGGTTTGGAGCCAGTAAATGGCAGAGTGATATTTGACCACCACCGCCCTAACTCCAAGCCCAATGTCCTTTTCTCTGTTCCATGGCTTTCTTCCAGGTTCAGACAGGAAAGCACCTTGGAGAGAAGCAGCATTTGGTATTTGTACCTTTGCCAACTCAGGAACCATCAGGAAAGCTCAGAGCCTCCTTGCTTTCTCTTTTGGCTGAAATAGGCAGGGCTCTGCTGCTGCTGCTTCTGCCTGTGTGAGAGTCTTATGGGGGTCTCTGAGATAAGTGGGTTAGAGCTCTTAACTGTGTGCTGGCAGGGAGGTTGTCAGGATCCCTAGAGTCCCAGAGAGAGGCTAAAAACTCTGGGAAAATATTTGTGGGAAGGGCCCCTGCACAAGTTCTGTGGTGGAATGATATAAAGGTGGCTGGGTGTGGGAGTCAGGGTGCTCCAGTCGGGCTACACACTCTGCCACTCTCTTTGCTACAAAACCTAGCTCTTCAGCCCTTTGGACTTCCACTTTCTCATCTGTAAAATGGGGAGAATACCTGCTACCTTTCAGGCCTTGGGTAAGAACAGCAAGTTGGGCTGGGTGCAGAGGCTCACGCCTGTAATCCCAGCACTTTGGGAGGCTGAAGCAGGCAGATCACTTGACCCCAGGAGTTCAAGACCAGCCTGGGCAACATAGTGAGACCCCATCTCTACAAAACATTTATTTTAAAAATTAGCCAGGCGTAGTATTGTGTGCCTGTAGTTCCATCTCTGTAATCTCATCTACTTGGGAAGCTGAGATGAAAGGATTCCTTGAGCCCGGGAGGTGGAGGCTGTAGTGAGCTGAGATTGCACTACTGCATTCCTGCCTAGGTGACAGAGTGAGACCCTGTCTCAAAAAACAAAACAAAACAAAAAACAGAAACAAAACAAAACAACCAGCGAGTTTGAGAATAGATGTGAAAGTGTTGGTAAGTGATAAATTACACCCAAATGGTAGTCGTTACTCGCTGTTTCGGTATCTCATTGGTATTTTACCCACCACTTGCCACAAAAAGCAAAACCAAAACAACAATCTCAACAGACCCCGCTTCCATCTCTTAGAAAATATAGCCACCCCTTCCCTCACAGACCTATTTCTCCTTTTCCAGCGCCCTGATTGTACATCTTGAGGAGTCAGCAGTAAGGGAAGAAGAAATGAAAGAGACAATGGGGAGGGGATGAAGAGTACCATTTTCAGATGAATAATGCTATTTTCAATGATATCCTTCCCTGGGAGACAAAAATCAGGAGACTGAGTCTGAGTCTCCGCCTTGGATGGCTCAAAACACAACAAAAATGACGAATGGTTCAAGTGCTAGGAATTTCCTTATCAAGAAGAAAGAACAATTTGAGATCAGGAAACTATTGGCCAAGGGATGAGGCGAGCTGGACTCCAGTACCAGCCTTAAACTGAACAAGGCAAGGATGCCCAGAAGTGCCTCAGCTCACCTTGAAAAAAAGCAGGAAGGAAACTAATCAGCCCTTCTACTTTAGTGAAAAAACCATGAGCCCCTCAGATCAATGCTTATCTTCACCTTTCCGCCCTATTTCCCTTGCTTATTTGTGACTTTCTAGAGGGTTTCTCTTCAGCAAATCCAGACAACAGAATGTTCCAGTGTCAGAACTGGATGAACCTAAGGATATATATAGTGTAGTCTGAGCAGTTTACAGATCAGGTGCGGGGCCCAGAGGGGTTAGGTTCGTGGTCCTGGGTCACACAGCCTCTAGGCTCCCAGTCAAGGCTGGGTCATTCCTCTCTGTCCTTCACTGTCCTTCACTCAGGCTGGTTTCTAACCCTGGCCTGCTTCCAAGGTGAATCAGCAAATGGTACAGAAAGCAAGGAATCATCTTTTTTTTTTTTTTCTTTTTTGAGACAGAGTCTTGCTCTGTCACCCAGGCTGGAGTGCAGTGGCGTGATCTCGGCTCACCGCAACATCCGCCTTCCGGGTTCAAGTGATTCTCCTGCCTCAGCCTCCTGAGTAGCTAGAATTACAGGCGTGTGCCACCACACCCAGCTAATTTTTGCATTTTTAGTAGAGACAGGGTTTCGCCACGTTGGTCAGGCTGGTCTCGAACTCCTGACCTCAGGTGATCTGCCTGCTTTGGCCTCCCAAAGTGCTGGGATTACAGGCGTGAGCCACCGCGTCCGGTCAGGAATCATCTATTGGTCATTCCTTACAGCTCCTGGGAGGGAAAGTGACTTGTCCAAGGTCACAGGATTACCAATAACTGAGTATAATTGAGCATTATTATCAACCCTGGATTTTCCTCAATTATTCATTACCTTTAAGCAAATCTTCCAACTAGGCATTAACATATATCTTTTATATGTCCCCCCCGTCTTTTTTAAAACATAGAACCCTGACAAAGGGCTTTTTCCTTTAAAAAATTCAGATTAATTTTTGTTTAATTTTTTAAAAGTGGGTGATGGGTGCACCAAAATCTCAGAAATCACCACTAAAGAACTTATCCATGTAACCAAACACCACCTGTTCCCCCAAAACTTTTGAAAAAATAAAAAAAAGTCCCAGATGACTTTTTAAAGTATTACATGCTTATTGTGAAAAATAAAATAAAAAGGTATAAAGTGAAAAATAAAAATTCCCCTCCATATTAAAATCCCTAGCAATAACCATTATTGCGAGTTCTTATGATTCCTTCCAGAAATTTAAAGAATTTAAAGATGAAGTTAACTATACCTACTGATTTATGTCCTTGGCCATGGTTACTTAAAAAGATTTGTTGGGTTTTTGTTTTTTTTTTTTAAGACAGAGTCTCACTCTATTGCCCAGGCAAGAGAGTGGCGTGATCTTGGCTCACTGCAACCTCTGCCTCCTGGATTCAAGTGATCCTCCCACCTCAGCCTCTGGAGTAGCTGGGACTACAGGCACACGCCACCATGCCCAGCTAATTTTTGTATTTTTGGTAGAGACAGGGTTTCGCTATGTTGGCCAAGATAGTCGTGAATGCCTGGCCTCAAGTGATCTGCCCACCTCGGCCTCCCGAAGTGCTGGGATTACAGGCGTGAGCCACTGCACCCGGCCAAAGATTTGTTGATTATACGAACGAATGGTGCTGGGCTGAGGTTAGAAGCTGGGGGTTTGCATCATACAGAAGGACAAAGATGAGTTAAATATCTCAGGAGACAAGAGTTCCCACTGGGGCTTATTAGTCAGGGATCTGGCATAAATCCTTCCTGTCTGAGCTGGCATTACAGTGTGGAGGTGAAGATCATGGGTTATGGAGTCAGGCAGACATGGGCTCGTAACTCTGGCCCTACCACTTTCTAGGTGTGCGAACTTGGAATGTTCATTCCTTAATGTGCCTCAGTATCCTCACTAGTCAGATGAAGATTCACGCTACCGTGAGGATGAAGCAAAATGATACACATAAAGAACACATCAGAACACATCAGGCCGGGCGCGGTGGCTCACGCCTATAATCCCAGCACTTTGGGAGGCCGAGGCAGGCGGATCAGCTGAGATCAGGAGTTCGGCGCCAGTCTGGTCAACGTGGCAAAACCCTGTCTCTACTAAAAATACAAAAATTAGCCAGGTGTGGTGGTGGCCACTATAATCCCAGCTACTCTGGAGGCTGAGACAGAAGAATTGGTTGAACCCGGGAGGTGGAGGTTGCAGTGAGCCGAGGTCACGCCATCACACTCCAGCCTGGGAAACAAGAGTGAAACTTTGTCTCAAAAAAAAAAAAAAAAAAAAAAAAAGAACACATCAGAGTGGTTGGCATTAAGCACGCATGGAAGAAATGGTAGCTATCATTATTACCACCACTGTTGTTATTTTTCTGCTGGCCCACCTGAAGAAAGGAGAAACCCTGCATGTACATTAGCTAGTGCTATAGAAATAGCTCAGCCCGGCAGGGCATGGTGGCTCATGCCTGTAATCCCAGCTCTTTGGGAGTCCGAGGCGGGTGGATCATGAGGTCAGGAGATCGAGACCACCCTGGCCAACATGGTGAAACCCTGTCTCTATGAAGGAAAAAAAAAAAAAAAAAAAAAAAAGGGCCGGGCACAGTGGCTCATGCCTGTAATCCCAGCACTTTGGGAGGCCGAGGCGGGCGGATCACAAGGTCAGGAGATGGAGACCATCCTGGCTAACATGGTGAAACCCCGTCTTTACTAAAAATACAAAAAATTGGCCTGGCGTGGTGGCGGGTGCCTGTAGTCCCAGCTACTCGGGAGTCTGAGGCAGGAGAATGGTGTGAAGCTGGGAAGCGGAGCTTGCAGTGAGCTGAGATCACGCCACTGCACTCCAGCTTGGGTGACAGAGCAAGACTCTGTCTCAAAAAAAAAAAAAAAAAAAATAGCAGGACGTGGTGGCGCGCACCTGTAGTCCCAGCTACTCAGGAGGCTGAGGCAGGGGAATCGCTTGAACCCGGGAGGCAGAGCTTGCAGTTAGCTGAGATCACGCCACTGTACTCCAGCCTGGTGACAGAGACAGACTACATCTCAAAAAAAAAAAAGAAAAAGAAAAAAGAAATAGCTCAGCCCAGGGCCTGGGACTCTTCTGTTGAGTATATCTGGGAAGAAAGTGAGACAACTAGAAAGTAATTTTTTAGTATGAGGTGGAGTTAATGCCCAGGAACTTCTCAGGATATTAAAAATTCTAGATATACCAAACCACAAGTGTGGGTGTCCTATAAGGTCTGAGCATGAGGGTGTGCCTTGTACAGCCTCTATAGCTGCAGAGCTGGATCTGTGGAAAGAGAGACCATTTTGTTTCATTTTCTTTTTTTGTGAGTTGGGGTCTCGCTCTGTTGTCCAGGCTGGAGTGCGGTGGCAAGATCAAGGCTCACTGAAACCTCGAACTCCTAGGCTCAAGCCATCCTTCCATGTCAGCCTCCTGAGCAGCTAGGACTACAGGCATGCAGTACCATGCCTAGCTTTTTTTTTTTTTTTTTTTTTTTTTTTTACTTTTTTGTAGAGATGGGGTCTGGCTTTGTTGTCCAGTCTGGTCTCAAACTCCTGGCCTCAAGTGATCCTCCTACCTCACCCTCCCAATATACTGGGATTTCAGGCATGAGCCACTGCACCTGGGGAAGCATTTCCTTATTCATTCAAACATGCCACCTGGTTCAGCAGCTCCAGAAGAGGTGCCCCAGACTGGCCAGGCGCAGTGGGCTGGCAGAGAAAAGTGCCCCTCTCTATCTGAATTCCAGGCCTTTCTTCCTAGTCTTCAGAGCACAATGAGAATATTGTCAAAGCCACTTCATCCAATCTTGTGCTCTGCGGAGGCTGGAAATGACTCAGGGCAGTATGATAATACCCTCCTCCAGCCAACACATAGCACGAGAAACCTAACACTGGACCAAAAGGCCTGCTGAGCCTCAATGTCACTTGAAGCCCAGAATCTCATATGGAAATCCATTAGTGTCATATACTTCCCACTAGTCAAATCTTTGTGTTACAAAATGCCCCCAGGACGCAACGATTCTGTTAACTGACCACACCCACCAGGGATGAGAAGGAATACAAGACACTGCTCTCACCAACACCAAGAGGTCATGGACTGTGACCTGGATCCAAACCCAGCCTGGAGTATGGGTCACTTGTTATCTCAAGGCTTCTTTCAAGGGTCTGATCATACAGGACTCAGCTGATCACACAGCCCCACAAATCTCAGAGTGTCTAGCATGGGGCTGGTGTCCTTGGGGACATGTGGATGGAACCAGATCAGCTTTGTGGAAGTCTCTGGAGACTGGAGATAGCCCTATTTGAAGACTAACATTAAGATCAGGACAGTGGAATGATACACAGTATTTCACTCTCTCCACTACAGCACTTCCTCTCCCAATCGAGGTTTCTTCTTCCCAAAAACCCTGTCGTCCACAGCTTTACCCACTCTACCTCCCCACCTCTTTCTCTTTCCCCTCTTTATTGTCCCCCTCTATTTCTCTCTTGCTTTTCTCCTATTATCTCTCTCTTTCTCTCTTCTCTTCTTCCCATTGTCTTTGACTCTTCTCTAACTGGTTATGACAGAGAGCTGAAAAACATCCTCTATTATATTATTGTTTGAATTCATACTACATTAAAATTTAAATCTTCTGGTCTTAATTTTCAGAAAGCTAAATATTTTCTCTTTTACTGTTTAAAAAATAACATTTTAAACAATTAAGGGCCTTTAAGAGAAAGGGATTCTGAAGATCATCTGGTTCAACGGCTTTCCTGATATATCAAGCCCTTAGTGCACCACTGACATTCGGTCTCTCCTTGAACACTTCCAGGGATGGGAGCCCATGACTTTACTGGGGCATGATTGATGTGTAAAAAGCTGTACATATTTAGGTCAGGCACGGTGGCTCATGCCTGTAATCCCAGCACTTTGGGAGGCTGAGGTGGGTGCATCACCTGAGGTCAGGAGCTCAAGACCAGCCCGGACAACATGGTGAAACCCCATCTCTACTAAAAATACAAAACTTAGCCAGGTGTGGTGGCGTGCACCTGTAATCCCAGCTACTTAAGAGGCTGAGGCAGGAGAATTGCTTGAACCCGGGAAGCGGAGGTTGCAGTGAGCTAAGATCGTCCCACTGTACTCCAGCCTGGGCAACAGAGTGAGACTCTGTCTCAAAAAAAAAAAAAAAAAAGCTGTACATATTTAATGTATACAACTCAATGAATTTGGGGACAGGTATACAACCGTGAAATCATCACCACCATCAAGGCCACCTATTTCTTCTTGAAACAGCCCAATTTTAACTGTTAAAGAGATCTTTAAATTAAGCTTAACCTGCTTCCATAATTCGTACTCCCTGGTTACCAGCAACAATCCAGGACACAAAAACAGTGCAATCAGCAGTAGGATAGGGAGGCCCATGTTGATTTCAAAGGAAGGGGTAGAACAGCTGGTGCAGGGTTTTCCTATTGGAGTAACCGGCTTGGGCAGGCAAGATAGAAGAGATGCATTGCAGTCAGACTCTGAAGCGCCTTGAATGCCAAACTAAAATGTGATGTGTTTAATATATCAGGAAGGTGGCCAAGTGAAAACATCTATTAGGTGGTTTGACATAGCAATAATAATTATTTACTTAACACTTGTGTGCCAGAAACTGTGCAAAGTGCTTTATGTTCGTTCTCTTGTTTAATTCTCTTTTTTTCTTTTTTGAGACGGAGTCTCACTCTGTCACCAGGCTGGAGTGCAGTGGTGTGATCTCGGCTCACTGCAACCTCTGCCTCCCGGGTTCAAGTGATTCTCCTGCGTCAGCCTCCTGAGCAGCTGGGACTACAGACGCGCGCCACCAAGCCCACCTAATTTTTGTATTTTTAGTAGAGACGGGGTTTCACCATGTTGTCCAGGCTGGTCTCAGTCTCCTGACCTCGTGATCCACCCACCTCGGCCTCCCAAAGTGCTGGGATTACAGGCATGAGCCACCGCGCCCGGCCTTTTTCTTTTTTTCCTAGAGACAAGGTCTTGCTATATTGCCCAGACTGGTCTTGAATTCCTGGGCTCAAGTGATCCTCCTGCTTCTGTCTCCCAAAGTGCTGGGATTACAGGCATGAGCCACTGCGCCTGGCCCTTGTTTAATTATTTCAATAGCACTGTAACAAAGATACTATTACTATCCCATTTTATAGCTAAGGAAACTGGTACTCAGAGGCCTCAGAACTGGTAAGTCACTAAATCCAGACCTGGCTGACTCTGATGCCCATGCCCTGAACATAGCACTTCATATAATAAGGCCAGCAGAGAGACCAGAGAGGAGACCTCGATCTGGGAGTCATTTACACAGAGGGATAGAGTGTCAAAAATAGAGGGGCAGGGCTGGGCATGGTGACTCATGCCTATAATCCCAGCACTTTGAGAGGCTGAGGCAGGTGGATCACCTGAGGTCAGGAGTTTGAGACCAGCCTGACCAACATGGAGAAACCCCATCTGTACTAAAAATATAAAATTAGCTGGGTGTGGTGGTGCATGCCTGTAATCCCAGCTACTCGGGAGGCTGAGGAAGGAGAATCGCTTGAACCTGGGAGGCAGAGGTTGCGGTGAGCCAAGATCACACCATTCCACTCCAGCCTGGGCAACAAAAGTGAAACTCCATCTCAAAAAAAAAAAAAATGAGACCCAATCTCCATTTCCAGTCTCGGGCTTCTTTCTAAACTCCACTGGCCCAACTCCAGCTGCCCACTGGACTCTGTCACCTCAAATGTGACACATCTACAGCAGCTCCTATCAGTTTTCTTTTCTTTCCTTTTTAAGACAGGGTTCCTCTCTGTCACACAGGCTGGAGTGCAATGGTGCAATCAAGGCTCACTGCAGCCTCAACCTCCTGGGCTCAAGCGATCCTCCCACCTCAGTCTCCTGCGTAGCTGGGACTACAGGTACACACCACCATGCCTGGCTAATTTTTTGTATTTTTTGTCAAGACAGGGTTTCTCCATGTTGTCCAGGCTGGTCTGGAACTCCTGGGCTCAAGGAATCCACCCACCTTGGCTTCCCAAATTGCTGGGATTACAGGTGTGAGCCACTCCTACTCCTATAATTTGCCCAGCCTACTCCTATAATTTTTCAGCACCTCCTCAGGAACCAGTTCCCAACCTGATATTCCTAATTTTTTAAGCCTAAAAGAGCATCAGATTTTGTGTCAAATCCAGCTGGGTTTACATAGTTTTACTATACCAACCATGTGGCCTTGGGAGAGTTATTTCACCTCAATGGAGCTCTGTTTTCTCATCTATAAAACAAGAACAATAAGGCCAGGTGCAGTGGCTCAGGCCTGTAATCCCAGCACTTTGGGAGGCTGAGGCGGGTGGATCATGAGGTCAGGAGATCCAGACCATCTTGGCTAACGTGGTGAAACCCCATCTCTACTAAAAATACAAAAAGTAAGCCGGGCGTGGTGGTGGGCGCCTGTAGTCCCAGCTACTCGGGAGGCTGAGGCAGTAGAATGGCGTGAACTCAGAAGGTGGAGCTTGCAGTGAGCCGAGATCACGCCACTGCACTCCAGCCTGGGCGACAGAGTGAGACTCCGCCTCAAAAAAAAAACAAGAACAATAACAGCACCTTTCTTGGAGGGTGCTCATGTGGAATAAACGAGATAATCTGTATATAGGATAGCACTTGGCACAAAGCAAGTGCTCAGTAAATGTCATTATTATTACTGTTACTGTTGTCGCTCAGGCTTGAAACATTCTCTCTTGCATTTATGGTTAATCCCCCTGCTGAGGGGTGGGAGAAAGCAGGACCCACAAAAGGGACAATACAATTTCAACACAGTTCGCATTCCTCCTTATGACCGCATCCCTCTGGCTTCCGGGGCTGCTTCTGCAGGTTCTCTTTTCTACATTCACCACAGAGAGAGTGGGCTCCAGCCAAGAACCCCAGCTCTTCTCCCTCCAGACCTTCTTATTGGGGATCACATCCGATGCTGTTGTTTCTGTCTTCAATTCGTGCCTGCATTCTGTATCATCTGTACACAAACACTCTTTTTTTCCTTTAAGTAGCTAAAATCAAAGTTTTAGGAATCATCTAGTCCAACTCCTTGAAAAAATTAACTAAGCCAGATGCAGTGGCTCATGCCTGTAATCCCAGCACTTTGGAAGGCTGAGGTGGGCAAATCACAAGGTCAGGAGATCGAGACCAGCCTTGCCAACCTCATGAAACCCCGTCTCTACTAAAAATACAAAAAATTAGCTGGGCATGGTGGTGGGCACCTGTAATCCCAGCTACTAGGGAGGATGAGGCAGGAGAATCCCTTGAACCCGGGAGGCAGGGTTGCAATGAGCTGAGATCGTGCCATTGCACTCCAGCCTCAGCAACAAGAACGAAACTCCATCTCAAAAAAAAAGTTAATTTCAAAATTAAAGCAGTCATTTAAAAATTGTCTTGCATGATTACATTTGAATAAAGTAGGCCTTCTCCCAACCAATCTACGTGTGTTCACCTGTCCTCACTGCAGTATGTATACTGCGCACAAATATTTGGGTTTTCACTGCGCAGTACCAAATATTTGAAGTTTTCACTGTGCATTGTGGGTCTGTGATGTTACCTATTCCTCCTACCTCACAGGCCTAGTATGTTATCAAGCTCCCACCAGCATTTCCCGCCCACACCCTCCCTCCCCCAGACACTACATAAGTATAAATTGCTAATGATTACTGATAAACAGGACACTGATCACAATCACAAACTCTCACACATTTGCACACCCGAACATCCCCTGAGGCCCACAGTAAACATGAAAGGAGGGATGAAATGAGATTCCAAGGAGACAGGCATGGTGTTTGTGCACAGTGAGGGGAGAACAAAGAGAACAGGGAGCCTGGGAGGTGGCAGGCAGGGAGAGCTGGCGAGACAGACTATGAGATGAGTCAGAGAGAGTGAATGAGGGCACTGGGTCGCATCAACTACCACTTAGCTGCCCCCAGAGGGTGGCATGAACTGGAAGAAGGGAATGGGAGCTGGTCAGGGAAGAAGCGGAGTTGATGCCATAACTCAGAAAGGGGGGACAGGAGTGAGCTGCAGATGGGGAGCCTGCCTTCTGAAATCTCCTAGACCTCTCCTGCCTGGCTCTACTCCCAGCAAGCTGCAGGGTTATGGCAAGGCAGCTGGGATGGCAGGGTAAAGAAGAAGTCAAGCTAACAACAAAGATGTCTGTCCTGGAGATCACTGGACCCCAGCTTGGTGGACAGAAGCCACCCCATAGCTGCTAATGCCTTCCATGTATTTGGTGCTTTCAACTTATTTTAAATGCCCTCGTGCTAATGATCTCATTTAATCCTCAACCCTGGGAAATAGGCAGGACTGGGGTTGGTATCTCTAACATGCTCCTCCCCTCTTTACCCTGTAGATTCCTCAAGAGCCCTCAAATTGTTTCCACCAGCCTAGAAACATCCGACACTGAACCAGGCGGTGCCTTGGGGCTATGGGGAACTTGGGTCCTCTGTCTAGGTTCCATTTTGGGTTGCTGGCTGCTGATTGTCCTAGGCTGAGTGTGATGAGAAGTCACAGGGTATGGAATCATTCCTGTTGTGGAATTTCCCAGGCACTCCTCCCCCTTTGCTTCCATCTGAACACCTGGTACATAGTGACTGTTTCACCCACTCCCCAGGGAGCAAGGTCAGGCTTCTCCTCCTCATTAGGTGAATGGAAGCCTGAGGGCTGGAGAGGGAAAGGCGGTTGCCCTGAGTCACACAGTGAGCAAACATGGAGGAATCTGAGATGCCTTGGAAAGAGCACAGGGCTGGGGGCATCAGAAGACCTGGGTTCCAGTCCTGGCTCTGCTGCCTATCACCCAGGGTCACGAGCTGATAAGACACTCACTCCACCTCCCCAGCCTTAGTTTTCATAACTGTTGAATGGAAATAATAGTACCCACCCCTTGGGGTTGTTGGGAGGATCGAATGAGATTAAGATGTCAACGCCTTATATAAAAATGAATTACTCTGATTATCAAGTAGCACAGGTAACATTAGGACTCAAGCAGTGGAAAGAGGCTGGGCTCTTCCATATATAAAGGGGCTAGGCTCTCCTCAACTCACCTGTGTGGCCCTGGGCAAGTCCAGGTCTCAGTTTTCCAAAGCTCCTGCCAACTCTAAGACTGTGATATTTTGTGGGCTATGCCTCTGGTGCAAGAATTCTGGTGCTGGCCGCCCTGATCTCTTGGCCGTTCTATCATCTGTGCCCCATACTGCCTTAGATCCAAGGATCTCACTGAGGGAAACTGGTCAGTTCCCAACAACGGAAACCTTCACCCCATCCCTCAGGCAGCCGAAGTGTGTTATTGCATTTTCCTCCCTTCTTAGCCTTTGTTGCCTTCCAGCTTTCAGGGAGGTGGGGGGTCTTCTTAGCAAAATCAATGGCAGATTGACCAGGTAAGCAAACACTGGATTCCCTCCCTCCTAGGGAGGGCTTCAATCTAACGGCCCTGCCTCTAATATCTTGCTTCTCTCAGGATGTCCCTAAAGGTTCCAGGCCCCTGATCCTTTCCTTGAGGAAACAGCTCAGCATAACTCTTCCTGGGCTCAAAGAAGTGAATTAAATATTAAATATGTAAGGCCAGAGCCCCTGCTGCAGCAGCACATTCCCAAAACAGACAATGGCATACAGCTCATCTGTCACTCTCCCAGTGGCTGTAGGCTGGGCCCCCCTGCTCCCCAGCCCACATTCCTGAGAAGGAATAAGAAATGGCAATATTTTGCTCTTCCCAGCAAGCTCATGGCTTCCTGTGTCCTTCCTTCCACCCCTAGTGTTGAAGGCTCCAGGGGCCTGGAAATGCCTGGAACATTGAGTTGTGGCATCCTCAGCAATGCAACTTAATAGGTCTATGACTGGACAGGGAGGGGCCTCTGTAGTTAGCCCCATTAGAGCCTGGAAGGTCCCGGGGGTGAGGAAACAGCTCAGGAAGGATGCTGAGGTCCTGACATCTCTCAGGGTTATGGGGAATTGGATATTAACTGTGATGAGGCCTCGGGGCAGGGGTCGGTTGGCTTGCTGCTCAGATTAATATAGGCCATAGAATTATCAGATAGGTAGAGCCTCAGAGATCACCCAGGCCAACCCTCTATTTTACAGAAAGGTAAACTGAGGCCTGAGAAAAGAGAGAAGCAACTTACACAAGGCCACTCAATGAGCTGTAGAATGGCTAGGCCAGTCTCTTGGTCTCTGGTATAGAGTTTGGTGCTTTTTCCACCCTACCTCCTGCATAACCCCCAAATCTCTTTCCTAATGATAGCAAGCAATGGCTCCTGCACTGTAAGGCCCAGGGGACCATTTTCCCAGGGAGCAGAATCTGTTCATGGTCCCACTTTGCCCAGCTAAGAACTGAAACAGCATGAGGTCCATGGGTTCCAGCTCAGCTCTGCCACTTCATAGGATGGAACCTTGGTCACGTCACTTCTCCAAGCTTTAATTCCTCACCTCTGAAATGGGGATTTCAGAACTGTGACCCTGGATGGCCAAAGGATCCAATGAGATCATGTATGGATCATATATATGGGGCATTTTTTGAACTGAAGCACTAACCAAATGATATTATTAAAACGACGTGAGGTTTGAAGATGCTGCAGAGGGAGGAAGCCTCAGGGGAGGAGGCTGTGAAGGAACAAGAACCCACATTCACAAGAGGCTGCCTGGCCATCCCACAGACCTGACTGATCCTGAGGCCACCAGCAGGAAATGCCCACAGCAGGTCAGACCACCCCAAGCTCACTGGCTTGAGAGACCGCCTGTCCACGTTGCTTCGTGTGTGTGTGCCTGTGCATGTACCTGGCAGCCCGGTATCACAGCAATTTGCCTGGCTGCTCTGGGGGCACATTTGGCAGGAGGGCAGTGTGCGGTGCTGAGGGAGAACCTCCACTTCAGGCCAGGTCACAGACTCTCAAAGAAGAGCCTCCTTGCCGGGATCCCCTGCGGGGACATCTCGAGTGCCCAGCTCCTCTGGGGCCCTTACCTTGTACTTGGCCGCAAGCAGCTCTGTGGCCTGCTGTTCCCGCCGCAGGTCCTCCAGCATCTTCTCCTTCTCCTCCAGCAGCTTCTGCTTCTCCTCGCTCACCAGGCTGCGGTCATCCTGGATGGCTGCCTTCTCCTCCTCCAGCCGCTCCTTCTGTTCCTGCAGGTAATTCTCCATGTTCTTCTCCAAGGCTGACTCCAGGATGGGCTGGGGCGGGCGGTGGTTGTTGTTGTTGTCATCCTCCTCTTCTGCCACCCAGGCCTCAATCACTGGGCCCTCAGGGTACCCAGGCGGGGCGGACACGGCCTTCTTCCTGCGGCTGCTCTTCCTCCGGGGCCGCTTCCCCAGCATCCCCCTCTTCTCCAGCTGGGCCTTCAGGCGGGCAATCTCCTCTTGGAATTCCCGCAGCAGTGTGTCCTTGGGGTCCTCGTTCACCCGGGGCTTGTTCTTGATGTTCTTGGCTCGGTTGGCAAAGCGCAAGGTGGAGAGGCTCTCATCGTAGCTGTGAGAAGCTGGCCCCAGTGTGGCTACCATGATGGTCTTGGCATTCCCCCCCAGGGAGTCCTGGAGCAGCCGGGTCAGCTTGGAGTCCCGGTAGGGAATGTGGGTGCTCCTGTTGCCCGCCAGGGCAGCAATCACGTTGCCCAGGGCAGATAATGAGAGGTTGATTTTGGAGGCTTCCTTAGGCCTCTCTCCACCAGCACCACCACCACTGCCTCCACCGCCACCACCGCCACCCGAGGATGGTGTGGCTGCCCCTCCCGCTGTGTTGGGGCCTGCCTTGTTCTGCCTCTCGCTGCCAGCCAGGTCCACGAGGTTGAGCTTGCCCACTCGGATGTGGTCCTGGCCATCAGAGCCACGTTCGCTGCACTCCACAGTGATGATGAAGATGGCATGGGAGCGGGAGCTGACCTCATTCATGTGGGTGCTGCCCACAGCCCGGGTCTGGTTCCCCAGGTTCATCACATGCTCAATCTCCTTGACATTCTTGGTGACGAAGGAGGAGAGGTCCTTGATGTAGACGCCAGTCTCGGGGTTCTCTTTCAGCTCTAGCCTCTTGCCCGGCTCCTTGGAGAGCAGGTCTCGAATCTCTTCCTGGTAGATCTCCAAATAGGAGGCCCGGACCAGGTACTGTTGGTTCTGGGAGCGGGAGATGTGGGTGAAGATGTGCTCAAAGGCATTCGGGATGACCCCGCGCAGCTCGGGCTCCACCCAGGTCCCCTGCATGGTATAGGTCTTGCCAGTGCCCGTCTGGCCATAGGCAAACACCGTGCCATTGAAACCCTGGAGCACGGAGTCTATCAGGGGCCTCACGGTTTCGTCATACAGGTCGGCCTGCTTGGAGCTGGCATCATACACGGCGTCAAAGGTGAAGGTCTTGGGCAGCTCCCCCGGGGCGGCGCGGGGGTTCCGCAGGGTCACCTGGCCCAGTTTCACGTCCATGGTCAGGATCTGCTCGTGACCAGCAGCCTCCTCCTTCCTGCTGAGGGGGCGGCACCGGGCCACCACCTTGAGGGCCTCGCTGGCCTTGGTCTTACTGGCCATCTTGCTGCTCTGACCTTCCTGCCCCCGAGCCCCTCCGCAGCCTGGGCGGTCCTGCTATCCTGCTCGCTAGGTCGGGATCAGCGGGGCCGGCCCAGCCCCCAGGCGCAGCTCTTCAATCCGCATGCAGCCTCCTAGGGTGGGGACGCTGGGAGGTGGCCCCAACGCTGCTGCAGTCCGGGCCTCCACCGCTCTCCGGTCCTCTCTGCACCGGCTGGGAGGTGAATTAGGCAGAATCCCCCAGTCGCCGCGGGAGCAGCGCCTGCCGAGCAGCCGTGCCCGGAGCCCGCCCCATGCAGGAGCAGAGGGAGCGCTGCCGTAAACAGCTTCGGCAACAATGAGATAAAGGAAGAGGAAAATGGGATGGGGGTGGGCGGCGAGCTGTCTTCTCCTCCTTCCTCTAGGGATCCATAGCGTGGGCTGCCGGTCGTGGGCGGCCGGGGGTCCCGGGCCTCCCGAGGGCAGAGGCTCACCTGGAGTCCTCCCCCCAAGCTGGGGGATCATTCATTGCAGCCAGCGCGGCTGCTGCTGCCTCTGCCTCCGCCTTCCCCGCCGCCGCCACTGGAGAATGAGAGAGAAAAACAGAAGGGGATGGGGCGGAGCAGCGGCAGCGAGAGTGATGTTGCCGCCGCGCTGCGGCCCCAGCTAAGCCTCCCGACTGGGGTGGGGCAGGGGGCGGGGCCGCGGGGCGGGAGGCGCGAGCCCGGAGCGGCCCGGGTGCGGGGGACAGGGGCGCATCGCCGTCTCTGCACCCCCGCCGACCGCTCCGGGATGACAGGCTCCGGTGCCGACCCAGGTCCTGCGCCCACCAGTCGGGTGCAGCGCAGCCACCGCCCGCCGTCACCCCACCGAGCCCGAGCATGCCGGGAATTGTAGTCCTGCCTTTGTTAACCGGGTTCTGGCAGGTTGCTAATGCCTTTCCCGGTCCCCCAGTCCGGGAGGCGCCTCCCTCATCCGCATGCCACCCCTTGAGTGACTGCTGAGCTTGCACCACCTATGCCTGGTCCCTCCGAGCCACCATCCTCGGACACCCCCCTGCTCCTGCCTTTCTGCCTGCAAATGGGTGCGCGTCACCCCTCCCCGTCAGGGTGTCGCCAGGCCTCCGGGAACCGAACTCCTAAATGTTCCTTGACTCTGTCCTTTCCTCCCCCTGTCCCGGTCTACTTCTGGCCTTCCTCTTCTCTCTGCTGGAGCCCACCTTCCAGCTGATTCTCTCGCACCTTATGTCCGCACAAGCACCCGGGAGCCCCCTCGCTCCTCCTCCACCGCCTTCCTTGTGTGAAAGCCTCTCCATCTTCCGCCTTCGCAGCCTCACCGCCACTACTCCTCTATAGAAAAATCTGTGTTCCAGACAGCCATTTCTTCAGTTATCCAGCGCCTGCTGAGCCCCAGGCCCCATTCTAGGATCTGGGTCCTTCCTGTCCTCAAGCAGTGCACATTCCCGGAACCGTGTTTTGTTTCTTTAACTGGCTTTGCTGTGCAGCATCTTTGTGCTTTTGCCCAGAGGCCTGGTCACCCTTCGGCACTTAGTGCCCTGCCACTTGGGCAGTTCAAGCACCTCCTCCTCCACGAAGCCTTCCCTTAGCAATTTTTTTTTTTCTATAGTGAAAGAGGCACAGAATTTACCTAAGACAAAACCTGGATTGAAGTTCCAGTTCTGATGGCCATCCAATGGAGTGGCTTTGAGCAGTCACTCCCCTTGCTCCAGCCTTAGTTTCCTCATTTATTTTTTTAAAAATTCGAGGCGGGAAAGAAATAATTAACAACTACTTCATGGAATGGTTGGGAGGCTCAAATGAAATAATGAATCATGAAGTACTGTACCATGAGAAGTCCTGCCCTGGCTTGGATTGCCTGACAGCTCCTGCTTCCTTGAGTATCCTGGATAGACCATGTCTGTGCTTGGTGTTCCTCTATGGGAGTCTTAATCTTTTTTTTTTTTCCTGTAGGATACAAATAAAGTGTAATTCCACAAGGCCAAGGACCAAGCCAGAGTCCTATCCATGGTCCACTCTGCAGAGGGCAGTTGAGTCTGTGGACTGAGCCCAAGCTGTCTGTCTTTACTCTCCATATGAGAACCAGATTGAGAGGTGCTGTTATCTGAAACCTGGAGACCCTTCTTCACAGAGGCACCAGAAGAGTCTTTCCACAAAACATTTCCAAGCATGTTATCCTCTAGAGGACCCAATTGTTTAGTTTTCCAACTCAACAAAATTTACCTCCTTAACTCTTCCCCATCCCAGAACTTTAGCGTGAGCTGGACTAGAGGCTTGAGACTTAGCTGAGAGCTTGCCCGCTTCTGAAGCTCCCTGGCCTCCCTCCACCCTCTCCTTGATTAAGCTCCACTGCTTATGATTAACATGGCTTTTGGACCAATTACGGGGTGGGGTTTTGGCTCCGTAGACTAACCCCTCTTGGCTCTCACAACATGATTTCTGGATGGAGCCTTTAGTTCTTCAACTATTTTCTGGTTGCATTCGGCTTTGGGTTTTGAATACCCTTTCTCTGCTTAGGCTAATGTATCTGACACTACAGCGCTGGATAAAAGGGATTCTCACCCTGTTCTCCCCACTTGATGTCACCACCTGGCAGGGGACTTACCCAGATCCTCTTGTGTGAGAGGGAGATTGGAATCGCGTTGCTTACAAGATGTGTGATCCTAGGCCAGGCGCGGTGGCTCACGCCTATAATCCCAGCACTTTGGGAGGCCGAGGCGGGTGGATCATGAGGTCAAGAGATCGAGACCATCTTGGCCAACATCATGAAACCTCATCTCTACTAAAAATACAAAAATTAGCTGGGCATGGTGGTGCACGCCTGTAGTCCCAGCTACTTGAGAGGCTGAGACAGGAAAATAATTTGAACCCAGGAGGCAGAGATTGCAGTGAGGCTAGATGGCGCCACTGCACTCCAGCCTGGCGACAAAGCAAGACTCCATCTCACACACACAAAAAAAGATATGTGATCCTGGGGAAATTATTTAACTTCTCTGAACAGCTATTTTTTCAGTGGAATAAATGAGGATAAGAATGCTTACATTGACCAGGTGTGGTGGCTCAAGCTGTAATCCCAGCTATTCAGGAGGCTGAGGTAGGAGGATCGCTTAAGCCCGTAAGTTCAGGGCTGCAGTGAGCGATGATTGTACCACTGCACTCTAGCCTAGGGTAACAGAGTGAGAACCTGTCTCTGAAAAAAAAAGAGGGCTTACCTTACACATCAGGATTAAGTGAGATAATGTATGCAAAAACTCCTACGACATAGGAGGCACTCCAGAAATAGCAGTTTTCTTTTCTCTTGTCCTTTGCATTCAAGGCTGTTCACTTCAGCGTCTCCATTTTCACCGCTGTCTTCATTTTTCCTTCCTCTTACATACTCAAGTCTCCAGCCACTCTGATTAGCTTAAGTCCCCCAAACACACCCCACTTTTTTGTGTCTCCTTGTGTTTGCTCATGCTGCTCCTCTGCCCGAAATGTCCTAACTTTGTTTTTATTTCAATTAATTTATTTGAGAAGGGGTCTCATTCTGTCACTCAGGCTGGAGTGCAGTGGTATGATTATGGCTCACTGCAGCCTCAAACTCCTGAGCTCAAGCTATCCTCCTGCCTTAGCCTCCCGAATAGCTGGGACTACAGTTGCATGCCACCACACCTGGATAATTAAAAACAATATTTTTTTAGGCCGGGCGCGGTGGCTCACACCTGTAATCCCAGCACTTTGGGAGGCCAAGGCAGGGGGATCACAAGGTCAGGAGTTCGAGACCAGCCTGACCAACATAATGAAACCCTGTCTCTACTAAAAATACAAAAAATTAGCCGGGCATGGTGGTGGGCACCTGTAATCCCAGCTACTTGGGAGGCTGACGCAGGAGAATCCCTTGAACCCGGGAGGTGGAAGTTGCAGTGAGCCGAGATTGCACCAGCCTGGGTGACAGTGCAAGACTCTGTCTCAAAAAAACAAAAACAAACAAACAAAAAACAATATTTTTTAACATTAGCCAGGTCTCACTCTGTTGCTGAGGTTGGTCTCAAATCCCTGGACTCAAGTGACTCTCACACCTTGGTCTCCCAAAGTGCTGGGATTACAGACATGAGCCACTGCACTCAGTCTTCCTAACTGTGTCTGTTTCTGTCTACATAGCCTCAGCTTCTATTCATTCCACTGCTCAATCTCACATGACTGGCCCAGTGCGGTGGTTCACACTGTAATCCCAGAACTTCGGGAGGCCGAGGTGGAAAGAGCATTTGAGGCCAGGCGTTCGAGACCAGCCCCATCTCAATTAAAAAAACAAACTTATATGGCTTCTCCTCCCACTACGCAATAGAGACCTCTCTTACCAAGGACATCAGTGAGTTCCAGTGCCACCCTCTAGTGTCATTATAGCTTATGGCTTCCATTATTGTCTATATAGTTCCTAGATTTGTATCTCCAGTCCAGACCTCTCTTCTGAGTTCTAAACCTCTATATCCGACTCTGTAATGGACAGAGCCACTTTGGTGGCTCTCCAGGTACCTGAATTTCTACTTGTTCACACTGAACTCATTATTCTCCCCTCCAAAAATATTACCTAGCTCTGTAAATAGCACTTCCTTCAGTCTCAGTGTATCCATTTGAATACATTGAATCCATTTGAATACGAAATTCTGCCAACTTCCTGCGTATTTCTCAGATTTATCCATTTATTTTCTACTTCCATAGGGGCTATCATGACCAAGCCATCGTATTCTCTGGCCTGACCTCCTATAGTAGCCTCCAATCTGGCCTCTCTGAATGGGGAGATTCAGAGTCTGCTCTTACCCCTATGTATTCATTCTTCAGAAAGCAATCTTTTTGACTGGGCACGGTGGCTCACGCCTATAATCCCAGCATTCTGGGAGGCTCAGGTGGATGGATCACCTGAGGTCAGGAGTTCAAGACCAGCCTGGCTGATGTGGTGAAACCCCGTCTCTACTAAAAATACAAAAATTAACCTCGTCTCTATTAAAAATACAAAAAGTAGTGCACGCCTGTAATCCCAGCTACTCAGGAGGCTGAGGCAGGAGAATCACTTGAACCCTGGAGGTGGAGGTTGCAATGAGCTGAGATTGTGCCATTGCACTCCAGACTGGGTGACAAAATCGAAATTCTGTCTCAAAAAAACAAAACAAAAAAAAGAAAGTAATCTTTTAAAAACATCTATCTGGCCAGGCACAGTGGCTCATGCCTGTAATCCCAGCACTGTGGGAGGCCAAGGTGGGAAGATGGCTTGAGGCCAAGAGTTCAAGACCAACCTGGGCAACATAGTAAAACCCTATCTCTAAAAAAAATTTTGTTTTAAAAGCTAGATGTGGTGGTGCATGCCTGTAGTCCTAGCTACTTGGGAGGCAGAGGTGGGAGGACCCCTAGCGCCCAGGAATTCAGGGGTGCAGTGAACCATGATCATACCACTGCACTCCAGCCTGCGCGACAGAGCAACACCCTGTCTCTAAAATAAATAAATAAATAAGTGTAAAAATCAGCCGGGCGCTATGGTTCATGCCTGTAATCCCAGCACTTTGGGAGGCCAAGGCAGGTGGATCACCTGAGGTCAGGAGTTCAAGACCAGCATGGCCAACATGGTGAAACCCCATCTCTACTAAAAATACAAAAAAATCAGCCAGGTGTGGTGGCACAGGCCTGTGATCCCAGCTACTTGGGAGGCTGAGGCAGGAGAATTGCTTGAACCTGGGAGGCAGAGGTTGCAGTGAGCCAAGATCACACCACTTGCACTCTAGCCTGGGAGACAAAGTGAAACGCTGTCTCAAAAAAAAAGTAAAAGTAAAAACACCTATCTGATCATGTCACCCCATGCTTAAAAAGCTTCCAGGCCGGGTGCAGTGGCTCATGCCTATAATCCCAGCACTTTGGGAGGCAGAGGCTGGCGGATCACGAGGTCAGGAGATCGAGATCATCCTGGCCAACATGGTGAAACCCCGTCTCTGCTAAAAACACAAAAATGAGCCAGGTGTGGTGGCGCGCGCCTGTAGTCTCAGCTACTCGGGAGGCTGAGGCAGGAGAATCACTTGAACCCGGGAGGCAGAGGCTGTAGTGGGCCAAGATCGCGCCACTGCACTCCAGCCTGGGTGACAGAACAAGACTCTGTCAAAAAAAAGAAAAAAAAAAGCTTCCAGTGCTTCTCATTGAATTTTTTTTTTTTTTGAGATGGAGTCCCTGTCTGTCGCCAGGCTGGAGTACAGTGGCACGATCTTGGCTCCATGTAACCTCTGCCTCCCGGGTTCAAGTGATTCTCGCTGTCTCAGCCTCCTGAGTAGCCAGGACTACAGGTGCGCGCCACCAAGCTCAGCTAATTTTTGCATTTTTAGTAGAGACGAGGTTTCATCATGTTGGTCAAGATGGCCTTGATCTCCTGACCTGGTGATCCAGCCACCCTGGCCTCCCAAAGTGCTGGGATTACAGGCGTAAGCCACCATGCCCGGCCAGTTCTTACTGGTCTTAATGTAAACTCCACATCATTAACACAGTCAGCAACGCCCTGCACAACATGGCACCTGTGCACATGTCTGTCACATCACATGCCACTCTCCATCTTGCCCCTCGTGCTCTAGTTACAATGACCTTCTTCAGCTCCCTTCCAGCTTCCTGTCACAGGGCCTTTACACATTGTGTCTCTGCTTCTAGAATATTTATCCTCACCATCTTTGCCTAGATACCTTCTCTTCATCCTTTGGATTTCAGCTTGAATGTCCCTCCCTAAGGATATTTTTCTTGATTTACCAACCTAGGTATGTCCCTCTGTAATAGGTTCTCATCCTTCCCTGTACTTTCCTTCATAGAAATTAGTACAAGTATAATTAAATCATAATTTGTCCACCTCCTCTGGTCTGTGAGGTCATAACATGTCTGCTTTATTCATTTTTGTGATCACAAAGACTAGTGCAGCTTCCAGTACATAGTTTGTGCTCAATAAATATTTTTTCAAATAAATAAAGTCCCATATGAGCATCACCTCTTCTGGGAAGACTTATTTGACTCCCCTGACTCTACCAGAATTATTTTTCCTTTTGGCCAGGTGCGATGGCTCATGCCTGTAATCCCAGCACTTTGGGAGGTTGAGGCCAGTGGATCACTTAAGCGCTGAAGTTCAAGACCAGCCTGGGCAACATACTGAAACCCCCATCTTTTAAAAAAATTAATTAATTTGTAAAAAAGAAAAAAAATTTCCTCTCTTCATGTTGCTATAGCTCTCTGTTTAGCTAGACCCCTAGTACTCATCACAGTTTGACTTGTACTGTGGCTAACTGAGTCTGTCTCTCTCACCATAAAGTGTTGAAGACAAGGGCCATGTTTTTTGTCTTTGTGTCTCCTTTTCCCATACCCAACACAGTTCTGGCTGCAATTAAGGTAGTTAGTATTTGCCCGAGGGCGGTGGCTCATGCCTGTAACCTCAGCACTTTGGGAGGCCAGGCCAGTGGATTGCTTGAGCTCGGGAGTTCGAGACCAGCCTGGCCAACATGCCAAAACCTCACCTCAACAAAAAACACAAAAATTAGTCAGGTGTGGTGGCATGTGGCTGTAGTCCTAGCTACTCAGGAAGCTGAGGTGGGAGGATGGCTTGAGCCCAGGAGGCAGAGGTTGCAGTGAGCCAAGATTGCATCACTGCACTCCAGCCTGGGCAACAGAGAGAGACCCTATTTAAAAAAAAAAAAAAATATATATATATATATAGTTAATATATTTATTATATAATATTGTTATATAGTTAATATAGTTAATATTGGCCATTAAGCAAATGAATTAATTTTTTTTTTTTTGAGACAGAGTTTTGCTCTTGTTGCCCAGGCTGGAGTGCAATGGTGCGATCTCGGCTCACCACAACCTCTGCCTCCCAGGTTCAAGTGATTCTCCTGCCTCAGCCTCCCAAGTAGCTGGGATTACAGGGATGCGCCACCACATCCAGCTAATTTTTTGTGTATATTTTTAGTAGAGACAGGGTTTCTCCATGTTGGTCAGGCTGGTCTCGAACTCCCGACCTTAGGTGATCCACCTGCCTCGGCCTCCCAAAGTGCTGGGATTACAGGCATCAGCCACCGCACCTGGCCATGAATGAATGTTTAAAGACCTTCAAGGCAAGAATAAATAAATAAATAAATAAATAAATAAATAAATAAATAAATATGTATTAAAAAGGCCGAGCGTGGTGGCTCACGCCTGTAATCCCAACACTTTGGGAGACTGAGGTGGGCGGATAACAAAGTCAGGAGTTCAAGACCAGCCTGGCCAACATGGAGAAACTCTGTCTCTACTAAAAAATACAAAAATTAGCCGGGCGCCTGCAATACCAGCTATTCGGGAGGCTGAGGCAGGAGAATCGCTTCAACTCAGGAGGTGGATGTTGCAGTGAGCCGAGATCGTGCCATTGCACTCCAGCCTGGGCAGTAAGAGCGAAACTCTGTCTCAAAGAAAAGAAAAAAAAACCTTCAAGGCAAGAGAATGGAAAGGTGAGACAAAGAAATCACAGTAATAAACCCTTAGATTTGTAGTGTGATTAACAGTTAATAAAGTATTATCACATTTGTTACTCACTTGATCTTCACATAAATCCCAGGAAAGGAGAAACTATTAATATCCTCACATTATAAGGAGGACCCTAAGCTTCAGACTGATTAAGTGACTAAGAAAGGAAACGCAGCCAAGTGGCACAGTCTACAGACTCCAAACCTGCAGCCCTCCTAGTGTTTCCCCTGTGCTACGGGGTGAGCTTCCTATGATGGTAAGGTACAGATCAGTTGCTTCCCAGTCCTGGTTTGAATGACAACTTCATTGAATACAGACCCGTCACTGGCTTGGTGGGAGGAAGAAGCTCCTTTGCTGCATTTCCTTTGATAATGAAAGTTCTTGGCAGGGCGCAGTGTCTCACGCCTGTATTTCCCTGCATTTTGGGAGGCCAAGGCAGGCAGATTGCTTGAGGTCAGGAGTTCAAGACCAGCCTGGCCAACATGGAGAAACCCTGCCTCTACCAAAAATACCTTAATTAGCCAGGTGTGGTGGTAGGTGCCTGTAGTCCCAGCTACTGAGGAGGCTGAGGCAGGAGAATCGCTTGAACCTGGGAGGCAGAGGTTGCAGTGAGCTGAGATTGCGCCCCTGCACTCCAGCCTAGGTGATGGAGCGAGACTCTGTCTCAACAACAACAACAACAACAAAAGTCATTTTTCCACAGGGGATTCCCGTTCCACCACCTTCTTCCAGTGTGGTCCCAATGACAGCCACAGTAAGATTCTACAAAGAAGACAGAGTTCACTCTTTGGTAATCCTGGGGTCTACAAATGTTCAAATACAAGTAATTCAGGTTTGGATTTACCCTACAAAAACCAAGTTCTGGCTGGGTGTAATGACTCACACCTGTTATCCTAGTACTTCGGGAGGCTGAGGCAAAAGGATCCCTTGAGCCTGGGAGTTTGAGACCAGCCTGGGCAACAGAGGGAGACCCTGTCTCTAAAAAAACAAAACAAAAAACAGGCCAGGTGCGGTGGCTCACGCCTGTAATCCCACCACTTAGGGAGGCTGAGGTGGGTGGTAAATCACCTGAGGTCAGGAGTTCAAGACCACCCCGGCCAACATGGCGAAACCCCGTCTCTACTAAAAATACAAAAATTAGCCAGGCCTAGTGGCACGAGCCTGTAATCCCAGCTACTCAGGAGGCTGAGGCAGGAGAATCACTTGAACCTGGGAGGTGGAGGTTGCAGTGAGCCGAGATCGTACCACTGCACTCCAGCCTGGGCGACATCTCAAAACCAAAACCAAAAACAAACAAACCAAGTTTTGCCAGCAGAGGGAGACATGACTATGTGACAGAATTACTGGATGAGCTCCAATTTCTGGGCTATCAATCGTTATGCAATTACCTAACTGTATGAGTTATTACCTAACTATAGGAGTCTACCAAATGTGTCCAAGCTTGATTTCTCATTGTGCCTCTTTCCTCTGCAGCTTCCTGTCTACAATCTCTGCTGTAATTTCTGGTGAACAGGATTTGTCAACCTAAATAAAAAAATCATAGAAAAATCTGAAAATTAAGACTCTGGATATTATAAAAAGAACAGTTCATAGTTGTTCCCCTTTACTGAGAACCTAATGGGTGGGTCACAGATGTTTTATCTAATCTTCACATTCACTTACCTGGTAAGTGGCTGCACTGGAACTTGAGCCTAATTCCTCCCACTCGAAAGACAGTGTTTTTCCTACCACCCTGTCCTAAGCCCTGAGGCTCAGCCCTCAATCCACCTCTATCTGGTCTAACTCTACCTTCCTCTTTCAACACTACCTGCCTCCTCCAGACCTAGGGGCCTCTTCCTTTCCTTACCTTCTGGGGCAATTTGTACGATGTGCAATTACCATCTGCTTTTTTAAATGGTGCTATCCATCCATCTATGAATATATTGTGTCTCCCCAACTCGAGTTCTTCTAATTTGCTATAAGTAAGTGTCTTGTTCCAAAAGTAATTTAAGAACATTTTTAAAAGAGTTTTGACCAAACTCTATATAGAATTGTCTCAATTTTGTTTTAAAGCATCGTACATGTTGACTCCTCTTCCTCTTACCCTAAATACAATTCATCAACAAATGCTATCCCGGTTCTACTTAGAAAATCTGTTGATCCTGATTCCAAAACTCTCCATGCTACCACCACTACCCTCTTAGTCCATGCCCCCTACATCTCTCACCTGCACGCTGCAGTAGTATTTTAACAGGAACCCCTGGTTCCACCCTTATCCTCCTACTCTTCCTCTGCGACAGAACAGCTAGAGTCTTCCTTCAGAACTACATATCAAATCATCCTACCTCCTCCTCTCCATCCTCCAATGACGTCTCATCCCTCTCAGAACGAAATCCAGGCTGGGCGCACTGGCTTACGCCTGTTATCCCAGTACTTTGGGAGGCTGAGGTGGGCGAATCACCTGAGGTCAGGAGTTCAAGACCAGCTTGGCCAACATGGCAAAACCCTGTCTCTATTACAAATACAAAAAATTAGCCGGGCATGGTAGTGCATGCCTGTAATCCCAGCTACTTGGGAGGCTGAGGCAGGAGAATCACTTGAACCCGGAAGACGGAGGTTACAGTGAGCCGAGATCATGCCACTGCACTCCAGCCTGGGTGACAGAGAGAGACTCTGCCTCAAAAAAAAAAAAAAAAAAAAAGAAAGAAAGAAAAGAATGAAATCCAAAGTCCTTGTTGGGGCACGTACACTGTACTCTATCAAGCTCCTGGTCCCTTCTCCTGTATCATGTGTTCCTATTCCCCCCTTCCCTACTCTCATCCAACAACACTGGCCTCCTTGTTCCTCAGTCCTGCCAAGCACCTTCCAGCTTGAGGGCCTGCGCACTTGCTCTTTCCTCTGCCTGCAAGCTCTCTCTCCCAGCGTCTCACTCGGCTTCCCTCCTTCCTGTCATTCACTTGTATTTGCAAATGTCATCTCCTCAGAGAAGCTTTTTTGTCCGTGCTTCCTAAAATACTTCTTTGTCATTCCCTATATCCTTACTCCATTTTGTTTTTCTTCACAGCACTTACCACAATATGACATTCTAGATATTTCTTTATCTGTTTATGTTTTCTTCTTCCCATTAATGTGCAATGAGATAATTTCTCCCAGTGCCTAGAAATATGCCTGGTTCAGGCCCGGCACAGTGGCTCATGCCTGTAATCCCAGCACTTTCGAAGGCTGAGGCAGGCAGATCATGAGGACAAGAGATCGAGACCATCCTGGCCAACATGGTGAAACCCCGTCTCTACTAAAAATACAAAAATTAGCCGGGTGTGGTGGCGGGCACCTGTAGTACCAGCTACTTGGGAGGCTGAGGCAGGAGAATCACTTGAACCCGGGAAGCGGAGGTTGCCATGAGTCGAGATGGCTCCTTTGCATTCCAGCCTGGGCGACAGAGTGAAACTCCGTCTCGGGAAAAAAAAAAAAAAGAAATATGCCTGGTTCATGATAAGACCCCAGGAGATATTTGCTTAATGAATAAATGGTGAATTAAGCTATTAATAGTTTTCACAACTATCTTTTTTTCTTTTCCTTTTTTTTTTTTTGAGACAGGGTCACACTCTGTCACCCAGACTAGAGTGCAGTGGTGCAACCACGTTTCACTGCAGCCTTGACCTCCTGTGCTCAGGTGATCCTCCCACCTCAGCCTCCCAAGTAGCTGGGACTACAGCACCACGGCACTCCGCTAATTTTTTTGTTTTTTATTTTTTGTAGAGATGGGGTTTCACTATGTTGCTCAGGCTGGTCTCAAACTCTTGGACTCAAGCAATTCGCCATCTTTGGCCTCTGAAAGTGTTGGGATTACAGGTGTGAACCACCGTGCCCAGCCACAACCATCATTTTGAATGGCTGCTTAACTTAATGTAATTTTTTTTTTTTTTTTGAGACAGATTTTCGCTGTTGTTGTCCAGGCTGGAGTGCAATGGTGCGATCTCGGCTCACCACAACCTCTGCCTTCCGGGTTCAAGAGATTCTCCTGCCTCAGCCTCCCTATTAGCTGGGATTACAGGCATGTGCCACCACGCCTGGCTAATTTTGTATTTTTAGTAGAGATGGGCTTTCTCCATGTTGGTCAGGCTGGTCTCGAACTCCCGACCTCAGGTTATCCACCCGCCTTGGCCTTCCTAAGTGCTGAGATTACAGGCGTGAGCCACCGCGCCCAGCCTTGGTAAATTA